>NC_000012.12:76096491-76248006 GCF_000001405.40 Homo sapiens | reverse complement strand
TTTCTTTTTTTTTTTCTGAGATGGAGTTTCGCTCTTGTTGTCCAGACTGGAGTGCAGTGGTACAGTCTCAGCTCACTGCAACCTCCATCTCCCGGGTTCAAGTGATTCTGCTGCCTCAGCCTCCCGAGTACCCGGGATTACAGGCGCCTGTCACCATGCCTGGCTAATTTTGTATTTTTAGTAGAGACAGAGTTTCACCATGTTGGTCAGGCTGGTCTCGAACTCCTGACCTCAGGTGATCCACCCACCTTGGCCTCCTAATGTGCTGGGATTACAGGCGTGAGCCGCTGCACCTGGCCTAAGCATCACGTTTTTTTACAGCTTTGGAAAGCAGAGATAGTGTCTTTCTTCAGAACAAAGAGTATGCTCACTGGCTATTAGAAAAGATTCAAATTACCTAAATGCAGGGTTCCTCTCCTGTAACGAAACCCACTTTGTTTGCGTGTGTCATCTGGCCTTCTTCATGCTGTTCTGTGGGAATTAGGGCTCAGAGAACTGGTGAAAAATGCTGGATTCTCTGGCTACTGATATTCCTCTGAGTAATAAACAATCCTTTGCTTATTACAATCCTTTGTGTCTGATCCAGGAGACTTTTATTCTGCTAGTATCCACAAAACTGTGATAAGCTAACTTGTTAGCTTATAAATAGAGTAAAATTTCACATATTTAATTCTGGACTAGCAGCGGATTAAGTGTTCAAAAATCTTAGGTAAACAGGCAAAGAAGTTACCTAACTGGCTGGGGAGATGGATCCTAACTATGCAGGAGAAATTGGGTTGCTGCCATGCAGTGAGGCAGAGACAACTATGTCTGGAAGCCAGAGGAGTCTCTAGGGGCACCCCTTAGAACTTATCCAATAGTAAAAGCTGATGAAAAACACAGCTGCAATCAAATAAAGAAAGGACAATTGAGGATTCAGATCTTTGAGAGTAAATGTGGGCCATTTCATAAGGTAAAAATATCAACGATGAATTTGGAGAAGACACATTCCTATATTCATTGAGGAATATAGAAATTACATTTGATACTTCTACAGAGAAAATTTAATACAAGAAATTGGTCACACAAGTGTTGGAGGGATGAAAGAACAATAAGAGATCAATGAAGTGAAGGAGATAATAATGGCAGGAAACAGCTGCCACTGCTGTGGTTGGGGAAGCAAGAGAAAAGTTGGGGCTCTCAGAATCTACACGTTGGGAAAGAGGTCATGGCCTTGGGTCTTGGAAAGGGGATGCTGCCCAGCTGGTGCTGATGCCTCAGAAGGGGTGAAAGATTGTCACAGCTCTGTACATTTTCTTCCTGGCTAATTTATTTGTTTATTCCTCCTTTTTTCCTCTTACTGGGTAACTTTATAATACAGTCTTTGTATTATACTCTACAGACAGGCGGGATTATGACTGAAGTAGAAGAATTAACATCCTTCAGAAATACTGTGGTCCTCTGCCATAAGTGAATATCATGACTCCTGTAACTTCGTGCCTTCTTTTTTGGGGAGGAGACGGGTGTTGGAGTGTCTTCATTTATACTAAGGGTACTTGCATCTTGTCAGGCAGAAGCATAAAGATGTTAGTGGCGAGATTTGGAAGTTCAAACATATACAGAGGAGTGTCTTGTTTTCATGTGTGAACACGTATAGGGATGGACAGTACTGGTAATTTACCTATAATAACTCAACTCCAAATCCACCCTTCTTTACCAGCTGGCTTCTTGTTGGACTCTGCCAAGAGAAGATGTTATTAAAAGGGCAGAAAGAGGGGTGCTATGATTTGAATGTGCCCCTCCAAATACAGGTGTCGAAACTTAATGTTCAACATGATAGAATTAAGAGATGGATCCTTTAAGAGGAGATTAGGTCATGAGGGCTACCCTGCTTTGTGAATGGGCTAAGGACCTTATAAAAGAGGCTTCATGCTTTGCTCTTCCACTTTCTGCCATGTAGGGACACAGCATTCGTCTCTCCAGAGGATGCAGCAAGAAAGTACCATTCTGGAAGCATAGACAGGGCTCTCACTGGACACTGAACCTGCTTGTGCCTTGAACTTGGATGTCCCAGCCTCCAGAACTGCGAGAAAATAAAGTTCTGTGCTTTATCAATTACCCAGCCTTGGGTATTTTGTTATAATAGTGCAAATGAACTAAAACAAGGAAAAGGGAATTCTTTCTTCCTGTTAGGTTTGCTCTATTCATCAGTATCACTCCAGAAACAGCCCTTAATCCCAGCAGGGACAGCTGGTTACAGACTCTAGCTTTTTTCTGGTATGCCCAGAATCAACTACCTTTCACTCCTTCTGAGACATCAGCACCAGCTGGGCAGCACCCCCTTTCCAAGACCCAAGGCCATGACGTCTTTTCCAAACATGTAGATTCTGAGATCCCCAACTTTTCTCTTGCTTCACCAACCATAGCAGTGGCAGCTGTTTCCTGCCATTATTATCTCCGTCACTTCATTGATCTCTTATTGTTCTTTCATCCCTCCAACACCTGTGTAACCCATTTCTTGTATTAAATTTTCTCTGTAGAAGTATCAAATGTAATTTCTATATTCCTCAATAAACCCTATTATATAAGACCCTAAATATAAGACATAGTCTTTATATTTCTGTTAGACAATTTTGTTGTAGATGAGTATTAGTAGTACTTATAACTGCTACTTTGATTTTTATAACTTCATTTTAAGCAAGAAGTTTGATGGAGGAAAGAAGTTAAAATTATGAGCAAATGTGCATTCTGAGATAACTTACACATTTCAATTAACATCCAACTTCCTTTGTGTCCTTGTGTTTCAAGTATTTCTTAGGAATAGCATTTAGGTCAGTTTTTGTTGTTGTTGTTGTTGTTGTTGTTTTGAGATGGAGTCTTGCTCTGTTGCCCAGGCTGGAGTGCAGTGGCACGATCTCTGCTCACTTCCACCTCCGCCTCCCGGGTTCAAATGGTTCTCCTGCCTTAGCCTCCTGAGTAGCTGCGACTACAGGAGCGTGCCACCATGCCCAGCTAATTTTTTGTATTTTTTTTTCTTTTTAGTAGAGATGGGGTTTCACGGTATTAGCCAGGATGGTCTCAATCTCATGACCTCATGATCCGCCAACCTCGGCCTCCCAAAGTGCTGGGATTACAGGTATGAGCCACCGTGCCTGGCCAGGTCAGTTTTAATTGCTTAAATTCAATCACCCAGTTCTGACTTTAATTGGCAAATTCAGTCCATTCACAGTTAATGTAAAAAATATGCTTGATTTTAATTCTTCTACTTTATTCTAATTTTTTTTTTTAAATTTAAGTTATCTGTTGTTTCCTTTTTCCTTTTCCCTATTTTTCCTGGTTTCATTATCCTAATTTTCAGCCTGATTTCTCTGAATAGTCAAAAGCTGACTATGTGATTTTCAAAAAGAATATTTTTCTTCTTTGAGATAAAGACCAGAGTTTAAAATACTATTTTTCTAATGGTCATGATCTCATTTATATAGTTCTGCCAAAGATTCCCTTAGGGAAACAAGGTTGGCAGATTACATTCAGAAGATCTCATCGCGAGTACTTTAGACTCCATAATGGTAGATTGCTTTGGCTGTCCATCGAGTAACACCCCAACCCTACTCCCACATACTTTCTCTGAAACATTAAAAAAAGTGAATTTAAAAAGGAAACATCTAAATAAAAGAAGTTATGCTAAAGTTATGCTATGAAGAGCTTACTAACTGAATTGATGTGAAATTGGTTGCACACCTTCATGCTCTGGGATGCTTCGGGATGCTTTTCCCCTGTTCAGAATGCAGTGCTTGCATGGGGTGACTCCTCTTCATCTTCTGAGATGCAGTCCAAAGGTCTTTTCCATCAGTCCTTCCCTGACTATCCTCTCCAAACTTGCTTCCTTCTCTGTGCCTTCTCCATGCTTTATGCTTGCCTCCATTATAGCCCCTATATTACAGGGGTGCCCAACATCCAGGCTGCAGCTGGGCACAGGTCCATGGCCTGTTAGGAGCTGGGCTGTGCAGCAGGAGGTGAGGGTCACAGAAGTGAGCATTACCGCCTGAGCTCTGCCTCCTGTCAGATAAGCAGTGGCATTAGATTCTCATAGGAGTGGGAACCCTATTGTGAACTGTGCATGTAAGGGATCTAGGTTGCATTCTCTCTTTTTTTTTTGAGATAGAGTCTTGCTCTGTCGCCCAGGTTGGAGTGCAGTGGCGAGACCTCAGCTCACTGCAGCCTTTGCCTCCCGGGTTCCAGCGATTCTCCTGCCTCAGCCTCCTGGGTAGCTGGGATTACAGGCATAGGCCACCACGTCCAGCTAATTTTTGTATTTTTAGTAGAGACGGTGTTTCACCATGTTGGCCAGGCTGGTCTCGAACTCCTGACTTCAGGCGATCCACCTGCCTTGGCCTCCCAAAGTGCTGGGATTACAGGCATGAGCCACCACACCCAGCTGGTTGCATTCTCTTTATGAGAATCCAATGCCTGATGATCTAAGGTGGAACAGTTTCATCCCAAAACCCCTTCCCCTCTAATTCTTTCATGTAGAAATTGTCTTCCAGGAAACCAGTTCCTAGTGCCAACAAGGTTGGGGGCTGTTGCCCTATAAAAGTTTTGCAATTATTGACTTCTGCTCTAAGCTATGAGCTGTTTGAGGGCAAAAACTTTGGTTTATTCATCTTTGTGTCTCCAGAACTTAACACTCATGCTTAATAAATGCTTGTTGAGTGAATGATTGATCTTTTCACACATAGCAGTGGTGTTTATTTACAGTAATACATTTCTGGCATCTCTTTTATTTTTGCCTTAAGCAAAAATCTTTGCCTAAAGCAACAGAAAAAAAATAGTTAATGTTACCTCTAAGGAATATAAACAGTATATTTACTAGTCCTATTCATGTATTTTCCTAATATTTTGAGAATTTGGATTGAGGCCTTCTGCAGCCATGTGGCTCTCTGTGCCTCAAAGATTCTTTGGCAGATCTCCGTATGAGCATCAGTGACTGACTAACCATCTAAAGTCAATTTTTCAGACTCCTTGCTCATGGAAGCAAATAACTTGGCAACTATCCTGACTGGTAGACTCACCAGCTAAAATCATTTCTAATGAGATTTCCTTACGGATAATCCAGCTTTTGGTGATTTGGACTTTTTTTCAGAGATGCTTTCATGAACCCCTATCCTATAATCTAAAATCATCTTTTAATCCCCTCTCTCCCAGCCTAAGGCCTTTAGCATAACAGCAACTTAATGTTCCCCAACTCTGACTGATATTCAACTTGACATTTAGATATTGACATTCAGTCAATACCTAAAATCAAGGCAAGAAAAGAGAAGTCCAAAGGCCTGAAGTATAAATTTATCAAGGCTTAAGGTTTTCTGGGAATTTTAATGAATAAGCACACAGTCACTCTGCTGTAGCCATAAAAATAACACTGTGAGTTTAAACTAAAATAAGCAACTTGGATCTCTTTTGTAAGAATTTCATTATTTTTTAAAATGCAGAAAAACTATTGGGAAATAATTTCTACAAGTTTAGGGACCCTTCAGTAGTGAATGTCTCAATCTATTTGGGCTTTTTTAAACAAAATAGCTTATACTGGGTAATTTATAAACAATAGAAATTTACTACTCACAGTTCTGGAGGCTGGGAAGTTCAAGACCAAGGTGCCAAAAGATTGAGTGTCTGGTGAGGACCCCTTCCTCACAGATGGTGCCTCCTATGTGTCCTTACATAGTAGAAGATAGGGAACAAGCTCCCTTGTGCCTCTTTTTGTTTTGTTTAAAAAATATATATTTTATATATACATATATTATATATATAAAAAATATATACCCTAGCACTATATATGTATATATACACATATATATACATACATATACATATATACACACATATATATGTGTATATATATAGTGCTAGGATATATATAGTATATATATGTGTATATATAGTATATATATGTATATATATAGTATATATGTGTATATATAGTATATATGTATATATAGTATATGTGTGTATATATAGTATATATGTGTATATATAGTATATATATGTGTGTATATATATGTGTATATATATATATATAGTATATATATGTGTGTGTATATATATATATGTGTATATATATATATAGTGCTAGGATTACAGGTGTGAGCCACCATGCCCAGCCTCGTGCCCCTTTTAAAAGGGCAGTAAATGCATTTATGGGGGCAGAGCCATCATGACCTAATCACCTCCCAAAGACTCCACCCTTAATATTATTCCATTGAGGATAAAGTTTCAACATATGAATTTGGGGGAGGAGGCATGGAACAGGGGGATATTCAAACATTCAGACCATAGCAGTGAGAATAGTTTATTTTCATTTTATCTGTTACAGGGGGAGGTAATAGCCAAAAGATATTTCCCTAACTGGTCAAGTGTGTCTCTTATGTTCTCCTGTCTATGTCAGAGGCATCCCACCACAGCTTAGTCATGTCATTCCCTCCACTGGGAGTGCTCTCTCTGTTCCTTTTTGTCTAGATTTTTAAGTCTTATGTTATTTTTCCTTCAAGACTGAGCTGAAGCCTTCCATCCTGGACCAAGAGAATTCATTTCTATTTGGAACTATTATAATTTTAAATTTTTATTTGTTCATGTTGGACTTTTTGTTAACAAAAAGCCGTGGATCTTTTTCATGTGAATTGCTCTTAAGCCACAAGACTCCTGTTCTGTACTTTCACATTTTTTATTCTTAAATTTCAGCTATCTCTGTCTTCAGATCTTTAGAATATTATATCCATCTCTCCACTTGATCAGCAGGACATGGCCCTGGCCACAGGCTGGGCTGCTGGGGTGCACGTCCTGCTTGATACTGTGAGGCCACCTTCATGCCTTGGTCTTTCCCCTTGAACAAGCAACTGAAGCTGGAGCCAGCTGGGTTATTACTACTGCATCCAGCCTTCACATCTATCCTGAAGGAGAGAATTCTACTGCTGGGTGTTGAGTGAATCATTGGAGGTAGTTTAGGGAAAGTAGGTACACAGTATTCTTTCTTGCCCTACCTCCTCGTGTAATGCAGGGGCCATCTGGAACAATTATAATATTTCTTAGGTAAGCTAAAGCTAGCATATGTTGGGGTGATCAGACCCAACACCAGGCCATGGGGGCTTCGAAGTCTGGCGGAGTCAAAGGAATGAGAAAAGACAGGTTAAGAGTACATAAGTTGGGTCCAGGGGGCCAACGCTGGTATGGAAGCTGCAAAGGCCTCGAGCTCTGGGAGCCCACACTATTTATTGGTGATCAAACAAAGAAGCAGGTGGTGAGGACGTGAGGATGCGGGGGTAGAAAGGTAGTAGTGCATCAAATGTAGCTGTGACGGTTTAGCGTTTTCTTTGACGCATATAGAATATGCTCTGCTGCTGGAAACAATGGAGAACATGTTTATGAGCCTGGGAGAGCAACCAGCAAGTCTGTGCACATTCCAGAGGCCACGAGGGGCTTTATGTCATGAGCCCTGGATTCCATCAAAGCCACGAGAGGTTTTATGCTCTGGGCTTAGATTTGTGGTGCGGCAGGGCAGCCTTCCACCCTTTGGCACAGAGCTTGGTGTTCCAAAGGCCACGAGGAGTTTTAGACCCTGGACCCTGGACATTTTCCAAGACTCTTTTATATTATGACAGACAAGCCAGTTCTGCCTTAGTTCTTCTACCAACAAGCATATATACATGAAGGCCAGCAATAAGGACTGGAGGTATGCACTAGGCAGGCAGACACATGAGCAGGGCTCTTACCATAGCTTGGATATCAGATCCCTGAGTTATTTTGGTGCTAAGAACAATCTTGTCCTATCAGGGTGTCCCTCAGTGACCTTACCTTCTAGGTCTTCATATAGGCAACTAAGTGAATTATATCCTGTATAAAAACAAGAATAGAGACTAAGGAACATCCCTAGAGCCTTCCTTTACATTAGTACTAGAAAAAATTTTTTTTTGGAGACAGGGTCTCACTCTGTTGCTCAGGCTGGAGTGCAGTGGTACCATCATGGATTACTGCAGCCTCTGACTAACAGACTTAGGTGATCCTCCCACCTCAGCCTCCCAAGTAGCTGGGAATACAGGTGCATGCCACAACTAACACCTGGTTAATTTTTTTGTATTTTTAGTATAGACAGCGTTTTGCCATGTGTGGCCCAGGCTGGTCACAAACTCCTGGGCTCAAGCAAGTCCCCTACCTTGGCCTCCCAAAGTGCTGGGATTACAGGTGTGAGCCACTGAGCCCAGTCTATATTAGTATTAATTATATACTTTGGGTATTGCTATGGTGTGAAAGTTTGTGTCTCCCTCCCTACCTGCCCCCCCGACCCCCACCCTCCCCGCAGATTCATATGTTGAAACCCGACCCCCAGCGTAATGGTTTTAGGAACTGGGGCCTCTTGGGAGATGATTAAGTCATGAGAGCAAGGTCTTCATGAATGAAATGAGTGCCCTGACAAAAGACACCCCAGGGAGCTCCTTTGCTCTTCCACGATTTGAAGATACACCAAGAAGACACAGTCTATGGAACCAGGAAATAAGGCCTCACTAGACATCAAATCTGCTGGCACTTTAATCTTGGACTTCCCAAACCCCAGAACTATGAGAAGTAAATTTAAGTTGTTTATAAGCTATTCAGTTTATGGTATTTTGCCACAGTAGCCCCAGTGAACTAAGACAGGTAATATTTGCTCTATCATGGTCTTTTTGTGCACATGCAGAATTCAGCTCTACTTCCAAAGCAAACTATGATATTCCATAAGTACAGGTACAAAATAATATTGGTAAACTGAATAAATCTTGACCTAGTTAGTGGCTTATGTAAAGTGGTATCTCCTGAGTGTCCATGAACAGGCTAAAGTAGGAGTTTCTGCGTAGTAAATATGAGGTAAAGGCAAGAATGTATCTGACCTTCTTTCCCTTGGTGAGGCCTAGCCCAGAGTGAGGACCTCGGGGGCCCACAGGGAGCTCAGTGTGAGAGTGAGTGGGGCAAAAAAGTTTCAGGATCCAGAAAAAAAGCAGTGAGTAAGAGAAAGGAGATTCAAGGTTCAAATCCAAGTCTATTAGGTACAAAGTAAAACTGGACTACTAAATAAACGTTTCACAACAAAAGACATATGAAGAAGATAAAGCCAGAGAGGTTAAACTCTATGCTGGGGTGGAGTGAGGGTGCTGCCAAAAAAAAGGAGGTGGGGCGGTGGCAAAGGGAAGGAGAGATAGCTATTACTGAGGGCACCGGGACTTTTCAGACTATGAGGGTTGATGGATAGTTTCAGTCACAATATTTCCCTAAAAACTAGAACTATAAAAAATAGAAGAAACCTGTACATGAATATATAGCTTTATTTGTAATAGTTCAAAACTATAATCAGCCCAGATGTCTTTCAACAGGTGAGTGGTTAAACCAACTGTGGTACATACATAGCATAGCATACTCAGCAATAGAAGAAAAAGAGCCAACTATTAGTATACAAAACAACTTGGTTGACTCACCAGGGAATTACTGAGTAAAAAAAAAATTCCAAAAGGTTACATACTGTGTAATTCTATTTATACAACATTTTTAAAAGGTAACATGTTACAGATGGTGGGCGAATTAGTGTTTGCCAGGAGTTAAGGACTCAGGGTGAAAGCGTGGGAGGGAGGTGAGTGTGGTTAGAAAACGGCAATGGGCTGGGCAAGATGGCTCATGCCTGTAATCCCAGCACTTTGGGAGGCCAAGGTGGGCAGATCATTTGAGGTCTGGAGTTGGAGATCGGCCTGACCAACGTGGTGAAACTCTGTCTCTACTAAAAATACAAAAAAAAAAAAAAAAATTAGCCGAGCTTGGTGGCAGACACCTGTAGTCCCAGCTACTCAGGAGGCTGAGGCAGGAAAATTGCTTGAACCCGGGAGACGGAAGTTGTAGTGAGCAGAGATCGCACCACTGCACTCCAGCCTGGGCAACAGAGCGAGACTCCAGCTCAAAAAATAAATAAATAAAGAGAAAAAGAAAAAAAAGGACAACGCTAGAGATCCTTATGGCATTGAAACTGTTTTGCATCTTGGTTGTGATGGATGTGCAAACCTACACAGGTGATAAAATTGCATAGCACTTTCACACATACACGTACAGGTAAAACGAGAGGAATATGAATAAGACTGGTAGATTGTGTCTATGTCAGTATCCTGATTGTCTGTATACTATAGTTTTGCAAAATGTTACCATTGGAGGAAACAAAGCAAATACACAGGGGATTTTCTACATTATTTCTGCATGTGAACCTACAACTATCTCAATAAAAATTTCAATTAAAAATTGGAGAGAGGCTAAGCATGGTGGCTCATACCTGTAATCCCAGCACTTTGGGAGGCTAAGGTGGGACGACTGCTTGAGGCCAGGAGTTTGAAACCAGCCTGAGAAACATAGCAAGACCCAGCCCCTACAAAAAATTTTAAAACTAGTCAGGTGGGGTGACACATCTGTAGTCCCAGCTACTCAGGAGGTGGAGGTGGGAGGATCGCTTGGGCCTGGGAGGTTTAGGCTGCTGTGAGCTGTGATTGCACCACTATACTTAAGCCTTGGTGACAGAGTGAGAACCTGTCTCACTTGGAGAGAGTTACAAAATTAAATGACTCTTGTTAAACCTAGAAGCAGTTTAATAGAATTCAACATAACATACTTATATTGGGTGCCTGCTAAGTGACAGTGCTAAGTGCTGAGGAAATGCGGAAGGTCTGGTACCTTACCCCAGGGCTTTCCTAGACAGAGGGAATCAGACACCTGATTTCACTAAGGCTTCTCTTACGAAGACAGTAAGGGACTCCTTCCTCGTGTCTTGGGATTCAGGAAAATGTGTATCTGACAGTCCGAGAGACATACACAGCGAACACCATAAAACTGGCTTAAACACAGGGTCTAACAATAACAATTGATGTCATGAAGTACTTTTGAAAGGAATTGGTAGCAATACCAATTCCTCAAAAAAGTGTTCAGTTTGTCTTAGGAATTTGTGGAGGTTGAAGACCAAAGGAAGATTCTAAGAGATCCATGGGCACATTTGGCAGAATAGAGTTTCATAGAGCGCTCCAGGAAATAAAGACCCTAGAGGCCTCTTGCTTTTATCTACTGACGGGCTGACACCATAATTACTCACACAACCTGCAGATGCCTGTCTGATAGTAGACGGAAGCTTGGATAGGTTGAGTCACATTATTTTCCTTTCCTCCTTGGCAAACAGACTGCATTTCCCAGCTCTTCTAGAAGCCAGGTGTGGCCACATGCCTGAGTTCTGTGAATTGTACAGAGGCAAAAGTGATGTACCACCACGCACTGCATAACGACGTTTCAGTCAATGGGCGGATGCATATACAACAGTGGTTTCATCAGATGATAATACTGTATTTTTACTGTACCTTTTCTGTGTTTAGATACACAAATGCTTACCACTGTGTTACAATGCCTATAGTATTCAGTACAGTCAAATGCTGTACAGTTTTGTAGCCTAGGAGCAACAGGCCATACCATCTAGCCTAGGTGTGTAGTAGGCTATGCCACCTAGGTTTGTGTAAGCACAAAGACGAAATCACCTAAGGACACATTTCTCAGAACATATCCCCATCATTAAGTGATGCATGAGTATACTGCATGTTCGGGGATGAACCTAAAAATTGTCTACCCCTGGCTCATTCTATCTGCTAGCTGAACGCGAATATTCATGGTGACCTTGGAAGCAATGTGTTTTCAGAGAGTGGGGCCTCTGTTAGCCTGAGTCCCCGAGTGACTACGCCCCACCCCGGCAGCCATTGCTCTGCATGAAGGTGAGAGTTACTATTGTTAAGTCACTGAAATTTGGGGATTTATTTATTACAGTAGCAGAAGTAACTGCATCTAGAACTACCTCAGAACACTCAGAATTACACCCCTCTTCTGTTTTTCCCCAAAACTGAGGATATGGCTGGAACGAAATGATTTTATGGCAGATCCTTCCCCATTTAAGCTCTCAAAAAAAGTGGGCCTGTGGTTTCTGCCTCTGTGTTAAATGTTCAGCTTCTCACCTAGAGAGGTTTATTAGCCTAGTTTGATAAGGGAGCACTTGCACGTGTGTGTCTGTGTGTGTGTGTGTGTGTGTGTGTGTGTGTGTGTTTGTGTGTCTTTTGAGACAGGGTCTTGCCCTGTCACATAGGCTGGAATGAAATCACGGCACACTGCAGCCTCAAACTCCTGGGCTGAGCAATCCTCCTGCCTCAGCCTCCCAAGTAGCTGGGACTACAGGTGCATGCCAGTATGCCCTGCTAATTTTTTATTTTTATTTTTTGTTGAGATAGGGTTTTGCTTTGTTGCCCAGTTTGGTCTCAAGCGATCCTCCTGCCTTAGCCTCCAAAAGTGCTGGGATTACAAGTTATTCTTGCTTTTTTTTTTTTTTTTTTTTGAGATAAATTCTTGCTGTCACCCAGGCTGGAGTGCAGTGGTGTGACTTCAGTTCACTGCAGCCTCCACTTCCCTGGCTTAAGCAATCCTTCTGCCTCAGCCTCCCAAATAGCTGGGACTACAGGCACACATCTCCACGCCTGGCTAATTTTTGTATTTTTTTGTAGAGACGGGGTTTCACCATGTTGCCCAGGCTAGGAGTTGTTCTTGCTAGCTGCTTGGATTAACAAAAATCTCCTGGAATAAAATTTTTGGTCTCCAAAGTCAGCCTGAACATAGGCTGTAGAAATATCAGCTTCTCTAAAGCAGAACCAGAGGCAGCAGCTGAGCCCAGCAGCCATTCCATCTCAGGCTTAGGCCTGATGAGGAGGAAGGTGGGTTCCCAAGGCTTGTAGTTCTTGGTCTTTCAGATGGTGAAGGCGCTGATAGAGGTTGGAGGGGTATTGTGTGAAAAAGTATGAGAGATGACACTTGGCCAGGGACTCAGGGCTCCAATATTCTGTTTGGGGGTACAGGATATTAAGAAAGAACTTTCCAGAATTTAGAGCCATCTGAAAATAGAATGAGTATTCTCTCATGATCTGCCTTACTGAAGTGTTTAAGTAGAAACTGGCTTGCTCCGGGATGCTGGGTTGGGATGGTTCGCTTGGGATATCTGTTGGAAGATGTTGCTGATACATTTTCTGACTAGGATAAAAATTAGACTAGATTAATGGGTCTCAAACTTTCAGATGCACATCTGTGAGTGTTATAAGAATTGATATTCCTGGACTCCACCTCTAGAGATTTGGATTCATTGGACAAAAGCCTCAGTAATTCTAAATTAGACAATTTAAAGAATACACTTTGAAATATGTTGGACTGTTATCTCTGAAGACTTTTGTACATTAAAAATTCATATTTATTACCATCTATATTTCATGGTATTCTTTAAAAAGAAGGCAAAAATCTTAAGTATTATTATTCAATATAATATTACTTAAAAAAATTCAAGTTGTGGCTGGGCATGGTGGCTTATGCCTGTGATCCCAGCACTTTGGGAGGCCCAGGTGGGAGGATAACTTGAGGCCAGGAGTTCAAGACCAGCCTGGATAAGACAATGAGACCGATATGGTTTGGCTGTGATCCTACCCAAATCTCATCTTGAATTGTAGCTACTATAATTCCCACATGTCATAGGAGGGTCCCAGTGGGAAGTAATTGAATGACAGGGGCGGGTCTTTCTGGCGCTGTTCTCGTTGTAGTGAATGTAAGTCTCACGAGATCTGATGGTATTATAAATGGGAGGTCCCCTGCACAAGCTCTCTCTTGCCCTCTGCCATGTAAGAAGTCCCTTTGCTCTTTCTTCATTTTCCACCCTGATTGTGAGGCGTCCCCAGCCATGTGGAACTGTGAGTCCATTAAATCTCTTTCCTTTATAAATTACCCAGTCTCAGATGAGAACAGACTAATAAAGAGACCCTGTCTCTACAAAAATAAAATAATTATTGATAGGTAAAGGCCTACTACCACTTTGTTAATCGATTTCTGCCATTTTGTTAATTGTTTTATAGTTCCTTTGTTCCTTTCTTCCTCTTGTGCTATCTTCCTTTGTGATGTTTTGAGTTTTTGCTGGAGTCCTTGGCTGGACTGGCCTGGTGCTTGGAGCTTGAGTCCTCTGAAGCAGGCCTGGAGCTTGAATCCATGTAGTTGGACAGTGTGGAGCTTGGCACTACTGGTGCTAGTCTAGTGCCTAGGGCCTTGGGACCAATTAATTTTTAATTGAAATTAAAAATTCAAGTTATTATTTAGATATTATAAGCTTTCTCCTACAGAAAGTTTTTCTAGGCTATTGTAACCCGAGTACAATTTTGGACATCTGGAAGTGGTAAAACATGCATAGACTGGGACTTGTATTGAACAGGATTCAATTGCACACAGTAGAACTCACTCTATATGAAAGAATTTAACATAGGGGATTGGGTTCTAGGAAATCCTGTAAAGTAGTCACTGGTCCTTAGGCTGAGCAGGCAGGAGCAAAATCCAGGCCCCAGAAGCTCCCTATGCCTGAACGGGAAAGCCACTGCTGCAGCCTCCACAAATGTTAAATCAGGAAGCTGCTGTTGGTACTGCTGACTGCAGAAACAATTTTACCACTCCTGTTGTCCTCAATACAGGTATAGTAAGATGCCAGATCAGGACATCACTGGCTGCAGAACCACCCTGTTCTGCCACCATCTGTGCTGTCAAGTAGATGGCATCTAACGGTTCTCCGCTGAAGTCTCATCTACATGGAAATGATTGGTGGAACTGTAGCTTCGATGGAGTGTGAGATATGATATGTGGGTTTTTAGAAAAAGAAGTTCAGTGGCCTGCTACAGCCAGCTTCTATCAGCTCTCAAAAGCCAAATGTTAGTCTCTGTCCTCAAATCCATGTTTAGTGGTGTCCACTTTAGTAGTTTGAAATCAGCCATAGTGGGAGCTTTTATACTGCAGGTATCGGCAAAATCTACAAAGCAAGGATTTTGGGAGGAAGAGGAGAAGGAGCCAGCATACCACTGAGTAGTTAAGATGGTTGTTAAGTAAGACCATCCACAGTGATTGCCATAATACTTTCTGAAACAGATGCTTTTAAACATTATGTAAATATCATAAACAGATTTCTGGAAAGCACTTTGTCATTATATGTCAAGAGCCTTGACATGCTTGCATGTGAAAGGCTCGATTTTTGGAAGTAAACAATAGAAACATATTTATTATGGCATTAATAATTGAAGCAAAAAATTAGAAACAATATCTTGGTAGAAATTAAAAACATATACTGGTACTCTAACAGCAGTGGATATTATGAATATGAAAAATAACACTTGCAAAGAGATTTCAATCATGTGGTAAGTGATTATTGTTAAACTAAGTGAAAAAAACATAATACAATTTTTTTTTAATTTTAAGTAATCCAAAATGGGTTTTTAGAAAAGTAGAAAAAAGACTAGAAAAAATATCCCAAAATGTTAAGGTTAAAAATGGAAAGAATAGACAGGTTCCAGAGTAACATCAGCAGGATGATGGAATAGGAGTTTCCAATGCTCAACCCTCATAGAAAGGTAAATTCAAACAACTATTCATGCTCAGAAACACCTTCACAAGAGCTAAGGAATGCAGGTGACAGACCACAGCACCAGAGCAGAGCACAGAAATAAGAAAACATGCTCTGAAGAGAGTAGGAAAGACAGTTTCTCACATTACCCCTTCCCTAAGCCCATGCTCACAGAGTGAAGGGAGATACCTTCTGTGTGGGGGAAGGAGAGTGAAGTGAGCACTCATCTTTGCCATGGACCCCAGCACCAGGCCTGCCCTCATGAACCCTGTCACTAAGTGACCGCCCCCTCGACATGGACCCAGGGTATAAGCCTGTCCCAGCACCAGCTTTGTCCTTGAACCAAGGCTCTAGGTCCCCATGGCCCCATGCACCATGCTGGCTGCCATAGCCTGACTGTCCAGCCCAGCCCCTGTATCCCCAGATTCCATGCTTGGGCCCTCAAACCCAGGCTTCAGGCCTGCCCCTGCATACCCAGGTTTCAAGCTGCCCCAGTGCCAGGCCAGCCCCCATGGCCCCAGGCTCCATGCTGATCCCAAGGCCTTAGGCACCAGACTAGCACCAGTAGTGCCAAGCTCCACACTGATCAACCACATGGATTCAAGCTCCAGTCCCGCTTCAGAGGACTCAAGCTCCAAGCACCAGGCCAGTCCAGCCAAGGACTCCAGCAAAAACTCAAAAAAATCACAAAGGAAGACAGCACAAGAGGAAGAAAGGAGCAAAGGAACTATAAAACAATTAACAAAATAGCAGAAATCAATTAACAAAGTGGTAGTAGGCCCTTACCTATCAATAATTATTTTAAATGTAAATGGAGTAAATTCTTCAAGCAAAAGATAGAGAGGGTGGATGAATACATAAAAAACCAAGACTCAATGATATAACGCCTACAACAGACTCACTTTAACTTTAAGGACACACATAGGGTGAAAGTGAAAGGATGGAAAAAGGTATTCTATGTAAATGGTAACCAAAAGATAGCAGGGTTGTTATGCTTATATTAAACAAAATAGATTTTAAGTCAAGAACTATTACAACAGAGAAAGACGGTTATGATACGATGATAAAGTGGTCAATTCATCAAGAAGATAAAATAATTATAAAGGTGTATACACTCAATATTGGAGCACCTAAATATAGAAAGCAAATATTAACAGAATGGAGGGGAGAAATAGACAGAAATACAATAATAGTAGAGGACTTTAATACCCCACTTTTAACAATGGGTAGATCATCCAGACTGAAACTCAGTAAAGAAACAGCAGACTTGAACAACAACGTAGACGAAATGGACCTAAAAGACATATACAGAATGTTCTACCCAACAGCAGCAGAATATACATTCTTTTGAAGCACAATGAAATATCCTCCAAGATAGATCATATGTTAGGCCACAAAACAAATCTTAACAAATTTTAAGAAGATTGAAATCATATTAAGTATCATTTCTGACCACAATGGTATAAAACCAGAAATCAGTAACAGGAGGAAAATTTGAAAATTTACAAATATATGGAAATTAAACTACACACTCTTGAACATCCAGTGAGTAAAAGAAGAAATTAAAATATTTATCTTGAGGCCAGGCTCGATGGCTCACTCCTGTAATCCCAGCACTTTGGGAGGTCAAGGTGGAAGGATCACTCGAGCCCAGGAGTTCCAGACCAGCCTGGCAACATACTGAGACTCCATCTCTACAAAAAATAAGAAAAAAAATGAGCTGGGTGTTGTGGGGTGTGCACCTATAGTTCCAGCTACTAGGGAAGCTGAGGTGGGAGGATCACTTGAGCCTAGGAGGTCAAGGCTGCACTAATCTCCAGCCTGGGGGATAGAGTGAGATCCTGTCTCAAACAACAACAACAGCAAAACAATAACAACAACAACAACAAACAAATCTTGAGGCAAACAAAAATGAAAGAAACAAAACATACCAAAAGTTGTATACCAAGAATGCAACAGAAGTATTTTGAAGAAGGAAGTTTATAACAATTAATGCTTACATTAAGATTAGCAACCTAACTTTACACCTCAAGAGAAACTAAAAAAAGAACAAACTAAGACCAAAGTTAGCAGAAAGGAGGAAATAATAAAGATTAGAGCAGAAATAAATGAGAAACTAGAAAACAATAGAAAAGATAAACATAACTAAGAGTTGGTTTTCTTTGAAGATAAAATAAATAAACCTTTCACTAGACTAATTAAAAAGAGAGAAGACTCAAATAAATTAAAAATAAAAGAAAACATTGCAACTGATACCCCTGAAAAACAAAGGATCATAAGCAACTACTCTGAACAATTATATTTGAACAAATTGGATAACCTAGGAGAACTGAATAAATTCCTAGAAACATACAACCTACCAAGACTAAATCATGAAAAAGTAAAAATCTGAACAGACCAGTAACGAGTAACGAGATTGAATCAGTAATCAAAAACCCTCACAACAAAGAAAATCTCAGGTCCTGATAGCTTCACTGATTAATTCTATCAAGTATTTAACAATTTTCTTAATTTTTTGGCTGGGCACAGTGGCTCACGCCTGTAATCCCAGCACTTTGGGAGGCCGAGGCGGGCAGATCACGAGGTCAAGAGATCGAAACCATCCTGGCTAACACAGTGAAAACCCGTCTCTACTAAAAATAAAAAAATAAAACAAAATTAGCCGGGCATGGTGGTGGGCACCTGTAGTCCCAGCTACTCAGGAGGCTGAGGCAGGAGAATGGCCTGAACCAGGGAGGTGGAGCTTGCAGTGAGCCGAGATCCCATCACTGCACTCCAGCCTGGGCAACAGAGCATGACTCCATCTCAAAAATAAATAAATAAATAAAATTAATTAATTAATTAATTTAAAGTAGATATATATATGTATTTTTATAGAGACAGGGTCTTACTATGTTGCCCAGGCTGGGTTGAAACTCCTGGCCTCAAGCCATCCTCCTGCCTTGGCCTCCCAAAGAGCTGAAATTATAGGTGCGAGCCACTATGCCTGGCCCTACCAAGCATTTAAAGAACAGTTACCACCACTCTTTATCAAACTTTTCCAAAAAATTGAAAATGAGGAATTACTTCAGTCAAGTTATGAGGCCAGAATTACCCTGATACCAAAGCTAGAAAAAGATACAAGAAAAGAAAATTACACATCAATAACCCTGATGAACAGTCTCAACAAAATACTAGCAAACCAAATTCAACAGCACATTAAAAAGCATCATACACCATAATCAAGTGGGATTTATCCCTGGGATGCAAAGATACAAATCAATAAATGTGATATACCACGTTAACAGAATGAAGCATAAAAATCCTATTATCATCTCAATAGAGAAGAACCACTGGAGAGCACTCAACATCTTTTCGTGATAAAAGTATCTCAGCAAATTATGGGGCTGGGCGCGGTGGCTCACGCCTATAGTCCTAGCACTTTGGGAGGCCAAGGTGGGTGGATCACTTGAGCCTGGGAGTTCGTGACCAACCTGGGCAACATGGGGAAACCCCGTCTCTATATAAAAATTTTTAAAAATTACAAAAATCAACAAATTAGGTGTAGCAGGAACATACCTCAACATAATAAAGACCATATATGACAAGCACACAACTAATATTGTACCCAATGTTAAAAATCTAGAAGCTTTTCTTTATGATCTGGTACAAGACAAGGATGTTCACTTTCAGCACTTCCATTCAATTAAAAAAAAAAAAAGACATCCAAATTGGAAATAAAGAACAAAATGGTCTTTGTTTGCTGACAACCTGATAATATATATAGAAAAAGCCCTGAAAACTCCTCCATCAAAAAACCTGTTAGAATAAACAAAATCAGTAAAGTTACAGGATACAAAATCAACATACAGAAAGTAGTTGCATTTCTGTACACTAACCAGAGCTATTCAAAAAAGAAATTAAGAAAACAATCCCCAGGCCTATAATCCCAGCACTTTGGAAGGCTGAAGTGGGAGGATTGCTTGAGTCTGGGAGTTCAAGACCAGCCTGGGCAACATAGTAAAACCCTCATCTCTACAAAAAATAAAAATAAATTTGCTGGGCATGGTGGTGCACACCTGTAGTCCCATCTACTCAGGAAGCTGAGGAGGGAAGATTGCCTGAACCTGGGAGGTTCAGGCTGCAGCGAACCATGTTTGTGCCACTACACTCTAGCCTGGGCAACAGAGAGAGACCCTGCCTGTAGTCCCAGCTAATTGGAAGGCTGAGGCAAAAAGATTACTTGAGGCTAGGAGTTCAAGGCTGCAGTGAGCTATGATCACACCACTACACTCTAGCCTGGGTGACAGAACAAGACTGTCTCAAGACAAAATCCAACCAACCAAACAAAACCATTTAGAAATAAATTTAACCAAAATGAAAGACAGTACACTGAAAACTATAAAATATGTATGAAAATGAAGAAGACATAAATAAATGAAAGACTATTCCATGATCATGGATTGGAAAAATTAATATTGTTAAAAAATCCATTCTACCTAAAATAATACAGATTCAATCCAATCTCTATAAAAATTCTAATGGCATTTTCCAAAGAAATATAAAAAACAATCCTAAAATTCATAGTCAAAGGAATTTTGAGGAAGAAGAATGAAGCAAGAGACATTACAGCACCTGATTTCAAAATAGACTACAAGGCTATAGCAATCAAAATAGTATGGTACTGGAATAAAAACAGACACCCAGACCAATGAAACAGAATAAAAAGCCCAGAAGTAAATCCATATATTTGTGGTCAATTGATCTTTGACGAAGGTGCCAAGAACACACAATGGGGTAAAGAGAGCTTCTTCAATAAATGATCATGGGAAAACTGAATATCTACATGCAGAAAAATAAAATTGAACACTTATCTCACACCACATGCAAAAATTAACTCAAAATATATTAAAGAGTTAAACATAAGACCTGAAACGGTAAAACCACTAGAAGAAAACATGAGTGGAAAGCTGACACTGGTTTGGACAATGATATGAACAAAAGCATATGAATATTGGTTTGGACAATGATATGAACAAAACCATACAGATATGACCTCAAAATCCTAGACAACAAAAATAGGTAAATTTACCTATTTTTAGGTAAATGAAATTGCATCAAACTTAGAAGCTTCTGCACAGCAAAGGAAGCAATCAACAGAAAATAGAGATAACCTATGAAATAGGAGAAAATATTTGCAAACCCTATATCTGATAATGGGCTAATATCCAAAATATATAAGGCATTCAAACAACTCCACAAGCAAGAAAACAAATGACTAGTTTAAAAAATGGGCAAAAGACCTGAATAGGGATTTCTCCAAAGAAGACATACAAATAGCCAAGGGGAATATGAAAAACTGCTCATCATCACTAATCATCAGGAGAATGCAAATCGAAACCACAATGAGATATTACCTCACACCTGTTAGAATGGCTATTATCAAATAACAAGTGTTGGCAAGGATGTGAAGAAAAGGGAATACTTGTATACAGTTAGTGGAAATGTAAACTGGTATAGCTATTATAGAAAATAGTACAGGAGTTCCTCAAAAAAATTAAAATAGAATTACCATATGAGCTAGCAATCTCACTTCTGGGTACATATCCAAAGGAAATGAAATCAGTGTGTTGAAGAGATATCTGCACTTCTATGTTTATTGCAGCATTATTTACAATAACCAAGATTTGAAATCAAGCTAAGCATCCATCTGTGAATGAATGAAGAAAATGTGGCATATATATATGTGTGTGTGTGTGTGTGTGTGTGTGTGTGTGTGTGTGTGTGTGTGTATAATACAATGAAATATGAGTCAGCCTTAAAAAGGAAGGAAATCCTGTCATTTAGGACAACATGGGTGAATGTGGAGGACATTTCGTTAAGTGAAATAAACCAGGCACAGAAAGAAAAATAAATACTGCGTAATCTCACTTATATATGGAATCTAAAAATATCAAACTTACAAAAGCAGAGCAGAATGGTGGTTGCCAGGCACTGAGGGATGGGGAAATGGGGAGATGCTGGTGAAAGAGTACAGAGTTTCAGCTCTAAGATGAGTAAGTTCTGGAGTTCTAATGTACAGCATGATGACTATGGCAAATAATATTGCATTGTATGCTTTTTTTTTTAGACAGGGTCCTGCTCTGTCGCTCAGGCTATAGCGCAGTGGTGCCATCACAGCTCGCTGCAGCTATGACCACCCCGGCTCAGGCGATCCTCCTACCTCAGCCTCCTGAGTAGCTAGGACTACAGACATGCCACGTGGCTAATTTTTGTAGAGAGAGGATTTCATCATGTTGCCCAGCTGGTTTGGAACTCCTGGGCTCAAGGGACCCACCTGCCTTGGCCTCCCAAAGTGCTAGAATTACAGGCGTGAGCCACCACGCCCTCAAGAGTAGATCTTAAGTGTTCTCACCACACACACACACACACACACACACACACACACACACAATGTGAGGTAATTAGCTTGATTGTGGTACTCATTTACAATATATACATATATCAAAATATTACACTGTATGCTTAAATATATACAATTTTTATTTGTCAATTATACCTCAATAAACCTGGAAAAAAATTGAAAGAATACGTTCAACAAAAATCCATATCACTTCACCTAAATCCAGTACTGCCCCACACTTTACAGATCTCCTTTGCTTGTCCTCAGCCTTGCCCATCCCCAAGGGCTGGGGAATATTCTGGCTGACGGGCATGTCCATCTGGGGCCTATCTCCCACCTCTCCTTATTATTTTTATTTCATGATTCAGATATCCTAGAGTACAGAATCCCTGCTACTTTCATCTTTTTGGAGTCTGCTTACTTGAGGTTAGACCATATTCACTATGCACACTCCTAGACCAAAAGGTGGCCAAGGACCAACTGTGGGAGTGGGAGTGGGAGTGGATAACTGTAGCATGGATGGTGTTTGAACATATGAACTGGGGTGTCCACACATATGTGCAGGATGGACCGAGGGCTAGGAGGAGAAGGGAAACCCAGCTCCTGGCCAGATGACTGGAGGCTGGCTCTCCTTGCATTGCTGTGTGCTAGCATAAATCTTATAGGAGTTTGCAAATTTTAAATGTGATCTTGGCTTCTAAGTTATTATGAAGATATGCGGTCAAAGTAACAGTTAGTACATCTTTTTTTATTTTGTTAACTTGCCTTATAAAACTTTAAGTATTTAGGCACGTGGCTGAATAGTCTTCATTTGCATTTGTGTCCCAACCATGGCAAGAGTTAGGACAGGATGGCTTGGATACGCTAATTGCATACAATAATTGTCAGCATTTGCCACATTTGCTTTCTCTCTCTGTCTGTCTGTCTATCTGTCTATCTACGTCCTATCTGCCTGTGCAGCAATGTGCCTCTTTTTAAAGCTGAGCCTAGCCAGGTGCAGTGGCTCATGCCTATAATCTCAACACTGTGGGGACCCAAGGTGGGAGGATCACTTGAGCCTAGGAGTTGGAGACCAACCTAGGCAACATAGTGAGACCTTGTCTCCACAAAAAATTGAAAAATTAGCTGGGTGTGGTGGCACACATCTGTGGTCCCAGCTACTCAGGAGGCTGAGGCAGGAGGATCACTTGAGTTTGGGAGGTCTAGGCTGCAGTGAGCCATGGTTGGGCCACTGCACTCCAGCCTGAGTGACAGAGCGAGACCCTGTCTCTAAGTAAATAAATAAATAAAACTGAGCCACTTGAAAGTGTATTGCAGACATCATGAGACTCCATCTCCAAGTACTTCACCATTGTTTTCTAAGAGAAAGGACATTCTTTTTTATAATCACTATTCTATTATCACACCAAAGAAGTTTTACGTTAACATAATAAAATTATCTAATATCTACCCAATGTTCAAATCTTCTCCATTGTCTTTAAAATGCCCTGTTGAGGTTTTTTTTTTTGTGTTCTGTTTTTTAAATCTAGGATCCAATCAAGAATAACTACCACATTTGTTTTTTGTGTTGTATATAATAGTAATGACATTAGGAAATCACCAAAAAAGCATTTATCTTAAGTAGAGGTCAGGTCAGATAGCTTAGTGTAATTGGTGAAGATGTTAATACACTAAATATATTATATTGAAATAGAATGCAATGTCTTCAACATTTTAAGAGATGAGGGAAAATAAATGCCAACCACCTTCAAGCTTCATTTTATACTTTTTTCCCTCCATATTGTTATTCCTAAATGATATGTATCTGCTTTTCTTTCCATAGTCTTCTATTATGACTTTACCTTTGGCCTAAAATTTAGATGAAGAAAGGGAATTTCAAATGAGGGAATTTTTGTAAGGAAAACTTTAAGCAGGTTGTGTTCTCATGTTTTTAATTTGCAAAAATTTAAACTTTTGCACATTTGCAAATCCTTTGCAATGTTAAACACTGATTTTTCTCACCTCTCTCTTGGCCAGATATTTCTTTCTCAGTGTCTTTGTGTGCACAGTAAAACATTGATGTTTGTGAAAACTCAATCATTTCCTGTTAGCTCAATTTTTTGTGTGTGCCAACATACTATAATGTTATAATCATAGGGCTATATCTGTCTTGTAAAAGTTTATTCAAGAATAAAAAGATATGCAGATAAGTAAATGGTTTTTAAAATCTCATTATAGACTATGTCTTCTATATATTTTTTATCTTCCCAGGTGCCCATTATAGTGTTCTACACATATTTAAGATTATTGACTAACAAAAAAGCAAAATGAACAAAAACTAAAATAAAATAAAAATAAAAAGAATGTTCTTCACAGGAAACACATGAAACAGATGAACTTTGGGTGTTAGTAATCAATATTCCTAGATATTCATTTGGGGAGGTCATATGTATATACACACACACACACACACACACACATATACACACATCTATATATACACATACATATATATACACACATATATATATACGCATATACACACACACACACACACACACACACATATATATATATATAAAATAAGGAGTTTTGCTCTGCTGCTCAGGCTGGAGTACAGGGGCATGATCTCAGCTCACTGCAACCTCTGCCTCCTGGGTTCAAGTGATTCTCTTGCCTCAGCCTCCCAAGTAGCTGGGACTACAGGCATTAGCCACCATGCCCAACTACTTTTTTTTTGTATTTTTAGTAGAGACAGGGTTTCACCATGTTGGTCAGGCTGGTCTCGAACTTCTGACCTCAAATGATACACCTGCCTTGGCCTCTCAAAGTGCTGGGATTACAGGAGTGAGCCACCGTGCCCAACCTATATTTTTATTTATTCATTTATTTTGAGATGGAATCTCGCTCTGTCGCCCAGGCTGGAGTGCAATGGCACGATCCCTGCTCACTGCAACCTCTGCCTTCTGGGTTCAAGCGATTCTCCTGCCTCAGCCTCCTGAGTAGCTGAGATTACAGGTGTCTGCCACCACACCCAGCTAATTTTTGTATTTTTAGTAGAGATGGGGTTTCGCCATGTTGGTCAGGCTGGTCTCGAACTCCTGATCTCAAGTGATCCACCTGCCTCGGCCTCCCAAAGTGCTGAGATTACAGGTGTGAGCCACTGGGCCCAGCCTCCAATATATTTTTATTTGAATCCAAGAGTCCATTGGAAACGTTGACACCTTTGAGTATTTATAAGACTGCAAGAAAATAAGAAAATAAGTTAAAAGGTCTTTTCAAACAAAATCTTATATCCTTAAAGATTATCAACTTCAAATTATTTGTTTTATTTTAAAGCTATAAATAGTTAAATATCAGAAGATAATATGGCCTAAAATAAAACATTTCTATATATAAACAGGCTAATCTATTAGCACTTGAAACCATTTTTAGGAAATACAGGAAACAATGAAAGATATGGCATGTCAAAGCACTTGAACATTGCTTTTTACATAATGTTTTTCTCTCTGGTTTATTTTCTTCTTCTCCAGTCACCTTTCCCTTAGAGTGTCCACACTATCCAAGAAAGGCTTCAGTCAGGGTCAATAACCACATTTGCTTCACTTGTGCCTCAGAGTCTTCCATCAGGATGGGTGTGAACCTCCTCCCTCTCTCTCATCGACTGTTCCTTATTGGTTCATATCTTCCACACCTGTCAGACCCTTCTTCATTTCTGTCTGCTCCTCCTCCGTCATAGCAGGTCCTGAAATCCCATTTTCTCCGCAAGTTTTCCTTGCATTAACCTCATCTCCCTCAGATCACTCCATTAGATAATGTCAACTTTTATATATATTTGGTATGATTTTAAATTTTACTCAATAGTTTGCAGTTGTTCTCAAACCATGCTCCTTGACGGCCACCCACTTCTGCACACAATCCATTTGGATTCTAAGTTCTGGCAGAAAACTAATGGCTACTTTTGTTCTAGAACTGCAATGCCCAGTACAGTAGCCATTAACTGTTTAATTTCAAATATTTAAATTTTAAATAATTAGCACTAAATAAAGTAAGTTGGCCAGGCATGGTAGCTAATGCCCATAATCCTAGCACTTAGGGAGGCCTAGGTGGGAGAATCACCTGAGGCCAGGAGTTCAAGAGCAGCCTGGTCAACAGGCGAAAACCCATCTCTTCTAAAAATACAAAAATTAGCCAGGCATGGTGGCAGGCACCTGTGATCCCAGGTACTAAGAAGACTGAGGCAGGAGAATCGCTTGAACTCGGAGGCGGAGGTTTCAGTGGGCCAAGATTGTGCCACTGTACTCCAGCCTGGGCAACAGAGTGAGACTTCACCTCAAAATAAATAAACAAGATAAATTAGCATTAAATAAAATTAAGAATTCAGTTTCGGCCGGGCGCGGTGGCTCACGCCTGTAATTCCAGCACTTTGGGAGGCCGAGGCAGGCGGATCGCGAGGTCAGGAGATCGAGACCATCCTGGCTAACTCGGTGAAACCCCGTCTCTACTAAACAAAATACAACAAATTAGCTGGGCGTGGTGGCGGGCTCCTGTAGTCCCAGCTACTCAGGAGGCTGAGGCAGGAGAATGGCGTGAACCCGGGAGGCGGAGCTTGCAGTGAGCCGAGATCGCGCCACTGCACTCCAGCCTGCCCGACAGGGCGAGACTCCGTCTCAAAAAAAAAAAAAAAGAATTCAGTTTCTCATTTGCATTAACCAGATTTCAAGTGCTCAATAGCCACATGTGGCTAGTTGCTATCATGTTAGACAGTATAGATACAAAATATTTCTATCATTACAGAGGGTTCTTGTTGGGGCTCAGAAAATCATACCCCAAAGCATGGCACTTTGACATGCTGAGTACTTTAAACTAAAAAGTAGCCTCAGAACCAAGGTCTCTCTGAACTCCTCCTGCCCTCCAGTCCATCCCACAGGGACAAGCTTTCTCTGAAGTTTCTTTATCGAGGAAGGAAAGCTCCCTCAGAAGGAATGCAATTGTCTTGAGCCCCCCTCCCTATAGCCTCATTGAACAGGGATGATTAACTCACAGGAAAGAAGACTAGTTACAACACCAGACCTAGAGCCCAGAGGAATTTTTTCCTAGGCTATTGTCTGTTCTTTGGGCCCATTCATCTCCCCTAAAAATCACTTACTTTTTAACTAAAATGCCTACAGCCCCCACTTCCCTCTCCCCTATTAAGAAGGTTATTTAAGCTTCTGAATCTCATTGGATTATTGGACAGTCAGATTCCTGTAATGTCACTGTGCATGTAATAAACTTGTATACCTTTTCTCCTGTCAATCTACTGTCAGTTTATTTCAACAGACTCAGTTATTACAGAGGGAAGAGAGAAGGTTATCTCACTACTACATTCTACTGGACAGCACTGTTCTAATATTCCTCATAATACCTATTATAGCTCTCTGTTTATAAAACACAGCATAGAAGTAAGCAATGTAGAACACATAGTGTTACTAATAATATGACTGTTGCTAAGATCAAGAGAAGTCACATCTATGAAATACCATGTTTTTATGAATTAAAGGAAATGGAAGGAGATAGACATTGAAAGACCTTTATTTTTCAAAAAAAACAAAATGTGTTATTTAGAGTCAAATGTCAAAACTCTTTCTGAAATAACTGAATTAAATAGCAAAGGTGATATTTAATCAAAGACAAACAGTCAGCTGTGACTCTATTTATTATAAAACTGACTATGGGGTGCTTCATATTTATTAGAGAGTGAATTAGATTGACCACTAAGTAGCCACACATCATTGATATTTGACCTATCTTGTCAAGAGACACTTTAATTTTCATTGATGTGTAAGTCTGAGGTTTGGCTCTCCACTGTGTGCTTCCAGATAATAACTTTTTCTCTTTTGGCTTCACTGACATAGAAATGGAAATAAGTTTACCGGAATCTCTGAGATTCAGTTTGTATATGCTACAAGGCAGTGAGGGAATAAAACCAATGATAATACTTTGATTTTTTTATGTGCCCCAGAAAGACATTTGCACAGCTTCAAATGCTCTGAATACTGGAATTTTAACATCCTGAAATAAGATTACGATGGTCTGCAGTTGTGTCAATATTCAAACTGGTAAAGAATGGTGTCATTTTTAGACTTGAAGGTCATCACCTAAATCCAACAACAAATGACAATGGAATGTGAAACCATGTCAGTCATGAGGATTTAGTTAATCTATGTCTGCCCTTTGTGGTTAGTTTTGAGCACCTGAGTGTCTAAAACTTAGTTCCTTTGTCCACATTACCATGTGTGTATTTAAAATTAAAAATAAGCATAATGAAGGAAAGTACATTCTATGATCAACATACATACCTGGAGAGTTCAGTAGCAATAAATGCAAGACCCTAACTCACTGAGGGCCTTTTTAAAGTATATAAAGAGACAAGTATTTACATAAGTCTTCATTGCTAGACCATAGCACATTCTCAATGTATTATTATAATATTATTGTAACTTTAAGAGGAGTAATGTTTGGTGCTCATTGAGTAACAAGAGAAGAACCAGGCCAGGCGCAGTGGCTCACGCCTATAATCCCAGCACTTTGGGAGGCCGAGGTGAGCAGATCACCTGAGGTCAGGAGTTCAAAACCAGCCTCGCCAACATGGTGAAACCCCATCTCTACAAAAATACAAAAATTAGCTGGGCATAATGGCGGGTGCCTGTAATCCCAGCTACTCAGGAGGCTGAGGTAGGAAAATTGCTTGAATCCGGGAGGTGGAGGTTGCAGTGAGCCGAGATCACACCATCGCACTCCAGCCTGGGTAACAGAGTGAGACTCTGCCTCAAAAAAAAAAAAAAAAAAAAAAAGAGGAACCAGCAACAATGGTAGAGATTATGATAGCAAACATCTATTTAGTGCTTTGTCTGTGCAGGCTCTGCGATGAGCACTTTACATACATTAATTCTCCTAACAACCCTGTGATGTAGTTACTATTCCTATCATTCCCATTTTACTGCTGAAGAAACTGAGGCAGGGTTATTGTTATGGGCTAAATTGTATCCCTTCAAAATTGTTATGTTAAAATCCTAATCCCTAGTACCTCAGAATGTGGCTGTATTTGGAGATAGAGTCTTTAAAGAGATAATTAATTTAAAATGAGATAATTAGGGTAGTCCCTAATCCAATATGACTGGTGTCCTTATAAGAAGAGGATATTTGAGTTTTTTCTGTTATTTTATTTTTATTCGTTATTATTATTCTTGGAGACGGAGTTTCGCTCTTGTTGCTCAGGCTGGAGTGCAGTGGTGCTGTCTCGGCTCACTGCAACCTTTGCCTCCCGGGTTCAAACGATTCTCCTGTCTCAGCCTCCTAAGTAGCTGGGATTACAGGCACCCGTCACCATGTCTGGTTAATTTTTGTATTTTTAGTAGAGATGGGATTTCACCATTTTGGCCAGCCTGGTCTCGAACTCCTGATCTCAGGTGATCTGCCCACCTTGGCCTCCCAAAGTGCTGGGATTACAGGTATGAGTCACCACGCCCAGCCTGAAGAGGACATTTGGACCAGACATGTACAGAGGAAAAACCATGTGAAGACACTGGGAAAAGATGGCTATCTATTAGCCAAGGAGAAGAGAGGCATCAGGAGGAACCAACCATGCCAACACCTTGACCTTGGACTTCTAGCTTCCAGAGCTGTGAGAAAATACATTTCTCTTATTGAAGCCACTTAGTGTGTGGTGCTCTCTTAAGACAGCTCTTAGCAAACTAATACAGTCATTTATTTAACCAATATTTACTAAGTGTCTACTACTGGCCTAAGAACTAGGAATAATCAAAACTTCTTTGCCTTCATGGAATTTACCATGTAGTGGTGACAGATGTAGGGGAGGAAAAAAATAATTTTTATTTCTACCCTTTATATTCTTAGTTGGGGCAAACTCTTGGTTAACAAGAGAAAAAAATAAGTAAGTTTATTAACTGGTGGGGTTGTGGGGGGTTTTTTTGTTTTGTTTTGTTTTGTTTTGTTTTGTTTTGAGATAGGGTCTCACTCTGTTGCCCAGGCTGGAGTACACTGGTGTGATCATAGTTCACTGCAGCCTCGAATGCACAGGCTCAAGTGGTCTTCCCAGCTCAGACCCCTGAGTAACTGGAACTAGAGGTACATGCCACAATGACTGTCTAATTTTTTATTTTTTATTTTTAGTAATATGTTGCCCATATAGTAATATGTTGCTCAGCATGTTGCCCAGGCTGGTCTCAAATTCCTGGGCTCAAGCAACCTCCCACTTTGGCCTCCCAAAGTGTTGAGATTACAAGTGTGAGCCACTGCACCTGGCCAACTTGTATATCTTATATATGCACGGGAAATACCTAGTAAAATGAGCAAGTCTCACAGAGGTACCTTTGAATTCAGAATTAAATGTCATTGTCTGCTGGAACAAAGAAACAAAGGAGTTGGGGGAGCCATTATGGAGGGGTAACCAGGAAAAGCACAGTAAACAAGGGTCAGGTTTGTTGGTGCCTTTTCCATTGATAAGAATCTCTAGTGGTTTAGAGTCACTCTTCTCTTCATGGTACAGAGAGAGACACCCTCAGAAATGGAGGTTTCCTTTATATATGTAAATTTTCTTTATAAAAGGGTAACTTCTACTCTGTTTTTATAGCTCCTCTTGTGTCTGCTGTTTCTCAAAATAATCAGCTTGAAATAATCTGTATGCCAGAGAGGCATATTTTGGGGTGGTATATTCTGATCTCCTAAGCGGAGACAAAAAATATATAAATACATCAATTACATGAAAAGTTAGAAAGTGATAAGTAATAGAGAAAAGTAAAGCAATAAAGAAGGAGAGGGTTCTGTGAATGTGCTTGTGTGGGGGTGCAATTTCAAACATAGGATGATGGACAGAGGAAGCCTCACTGAGAAGGTGATTTCTCAGCAAAGATCGTGGGAGAGGAGAGAGAGACCCACACAAATGCCTGGCCAGAGAATATTTCAACAAGAGCAAACAGCCAAGTGCAGAAACTCTGAGGAGGTACCTGGAGTTTTGCAGACAGTGTGGAGGCCCCTGTGGGTGGAAGGAAGTAAGCATGGAGTTGGGGAGCCTGAGAAGAGGTCAGAGGCGTAGGAGGAAGAGCCGGATCCTGTGGTCCTGGCAGACGTCAGCTTTCACGGAACTGAGAAGTCTTGGGAGGGGTTATTGTTGTTTTAGCAGTTTTAGGTTCACAGCAAAATTGAGAGGAGGGTACAGAGATTTTCCACAGGCTATCTGCCCTTGCACCTACATAGCCTCCCTATATCACAACCCCCTACCAGACTGGCACATTTGTTATAATTGATGAACCTACGTTGACACATCATTAGCACCCAAAGTTCATAGTTTATATTGGGTCTTATTCTTGGCGTTGTACAGTCTATGGGTCTGGAAAAATGACCTGTAATCCATCATGTTATGTCAAACACAGTATTTTAACTGCCCTAAAAATCTTCTGTGTTCTGCCTCTTCAATCATCCCTCTCCACAAATCCCTGGCAACTGCTGATCTTTTATTGGCTCCATAGTTTGCCTTTTTCAAAATGCCATATAATTGGAATTATACAGTTTGTAGCCTTTTCAGATGGGCTTCTTTTATTTATTAATGTGCACTTAAGTTTCCTCCATATCTTTTCATGGCTTGATAGCTCATTTCTTTTTAGGACTGAATGATATTCATTGTCTGGATGTATCACAGTTTATTTATCCATTCACTGATTGAAGGACATCTTGTTTGCTTCTATGTTTTGGCAATTATGAATAGAGCTGCTGTAAAAATCTGTGTGTAGGTTTTTGTGTGAACATACGTTTTCAACTTTGGGTAAATATCAAGAAGCGTGATTGCCGGATTTCATGGTAAAGAGTGTGTTTAGTTTTCTAAGAGACTGCCAAACTGTCTTCCAAAATGGCTGCATCATTTTGCATTCCCACAAGCAATGAATGATTGTGGGGATTATTTGATAAGTTAGAAAGTGATGAGTGATGTAAAGAAAAATATATCCTGTTGCTGCACATCCTTGCCAGCATTTGGTGTTGTCCATGTTCTGAATTTTGGCCAACCTAATAATATGTAGTGGTATCTGATTTGTCACTTTAATTTGCATTTCCTTATAATACATATGATCTAGAGCATCTTTTCATATGCTTATTTGCCATCCATATGTCGTCTTTGGTGAGGTGTCTTTTAAGGTCTTTGGCTTATTTTTAAATTGGGCTGCTTGTTTTCTTATTTCTGAGTTTTAAAGTTCTGTTTATATTTTGGATAACAGTCCTTTATCACATGTATCTTTAGCAAATATTTTTATTGGTAAGGTTTTGAACAGAGACATAATATGATCTGACTTTCATTGTAAAAATATTATCTGGGGCCGGGCGTGGTGGCTCATGCCTGTAATCCCAGCACTTCAGAAGGCCAAGGCAGGAGGATAACCTGAGGTCAGGAGTTTGAGAGCAGCCTGGCCAACATGGTGAAACCCCATCTCTACCAAAAATACAAAAATCAGCCAGGTGCAGTGGTGGGTGCCTGTAGTCCCAGCTACTTGGGAGGCTGAGGCAGGAGAATGGCTTGAACCCAGGAGGCAGAGGTTGCAGTGAGCCAAGATCACACCTCTGCACTCCAGCCTGGGTGATACAGCGTAACTCTGCCTCAAAAAAAAAAAAAAAAAAAAAAAAAAATATATATATATATATATATATATATATATATTATATATATACACATATATATGTGTGTATATATGAATATATAATATTATCTGGATGTTATATTGAGAATAGATGATATTTTGGTTGACTGGGGATGAGATGCTGGTAGGCTAGGGCAGAAACCAGAGTGATGGTTTAGGAGGCTGTTATAGTTTGGATGCGTGCCCCGCCCAAACTCATATTAAAGTATAATCCCCAGTGGTGGAAGAGGGGCCTGGTCAGAGGTAAATGGATCATGGGGTTGGTTTCTTGTGAGTGATTTAGCACCATTTCTCTTGGTACTGTCCACGCAATAATGAGTGAGTTCTCATGAGATCTAGCCATTTAAAAGTATGTAGCACCTCCCCCCTCATTATCTTGCTTCTGGTTTTACCATGTGATGCGCCTGCTCCTCCTTCGTCTTCCGCCATGATTGGAAGCTTCCTGAGGCCTCCCTAGAAGCATATGTCGCTATGCTTCCTGTACAGCCTGCAGAACTATGAGCCGGTTAAACCTCTTTTCTTTATAAATTACCGAGTCTCAGGTATTTCTTTATAGCAATGCAGGAACAGCCTAATACAGAGGCTATTACCATAATCTGAGAACTCTGGAAACTGTTAACAATATTAGGGTGAGCAATGAGAGGGTCTTGAGCCAGGATAGCTGCACTGGAAGTGATGAGAACCATCAGATTCTGGTTATATTTTGGAGGTAAAGTCCATAGGATTTGCTAATAGATTGGACATGAGATAGAAAGATAAGAGTAAGGATGACCAGTGACCAACAGGAAGAGTGAGGTTGGCATTAACTGAAGAGGAAGACTTAAAGAGGAGCAGGCTTAGTAGAATCAGGAATTCAGTTCCGACATGTTGCATTTGACAGGACTATAAGAAGTCTGTGACAGGCAGAGTAATGGCCCCCAAAGGGGCCATTCAAGGTCCTAATCCCTGAAACCTGTAAATATGTTTGGTTACATGGCAAAGGGGAGTTAACATAGCAGATAGAATTAAGATAGAATTAATTAGCTGACTTTAAAATCAGGAGATTTTTTTCCTGAATTATTCAGGTATATCCCAGTGTAATTGCAAGTCTTTAAATATGGAAGAGGGAGACAGGGAAGTTGGTATCTCTGAGAGATGCAATGTGAGAAAGACTTGGCCGGCCACCGTTGGCTTTCAAGATGGAGGGTGCTACATGTGAAGGACTGCAGGCAGCCTCTAGAAGCTAAAAAGAAAATGTATTCTTCCCCTTAAGCCTCAAGAAAGGAATGCAGACCTACTGACATCTTGACTTTAGCTCAGTGAGATCGATTTAAATGTGTGCTGTTTTAATCCACTAAGTTTGTGACAATTTGTTGCAACAGCAATAGGAAAATACAACATCCAAGTGGAGATACCTGGTGGGTAATTGGATATACAAGTCTGGATTTTGGGTGGAGGTCCGGGTTAGAGATACAAATTTGGAAGTTATCAGCATACTGATGATTCTTAAAACCAGAAGACTGGATGAGCTCACCAAGGAAGTTGTAAGGAGAAGAGAAGAGAAGAGGAGGAGGGGAGGGGAAAAGTGCAAAAACGGTTCTGGAAGGCTTTGATATTGAGACATCAGAAAGATGAAAAGGAAACAGCTAAGGAGACCTAGAAGGAGAAGCTGGTTGTGTAGGAAAGCAACCTGGCGGATGTGCTGTATGGAAGCCAGGTAAAGAAAGTGTTTCAAGGAGAAGGGAGTGATGACACGTGTCAAAAGCTGCTGATGGGTCAGGAAAGATGAGAATAGGGAATGGATTGCTAGATTTAACAATGGAAAATTACTGGTGGCCTTGACTAAAGCAGTTTGGGCAGAGTAATGGGGGCTAAAACCTTTTGGAGTGGGTTTTACTAAGAGTGGGAAAAACAGAATTGAAGACAGTGAGTACAGATCCCTTTTAAAAAGAGTTTTGCTCCAGTGTTAATTTGCTTAGGAAAAAAAGAGTTTTGCTATAAAAATGAGCAGAGTGGGTTTTTGGGGCGGCAGGGTGGCGATGAGAGAGAAATAACAGCATATTTGTATGCTGATGTGAATGATCCAGCAGAGAACCAGAGAGGTTAGGTAACTTGCTCACAGTCACACGACAATGTATAACAGAGATGAGCAGTCCCAGCTGAAGTTAACCTAGACAAACTCAGCCTCAGAAGTGGAGCCACTTAGCCTACCCAGTAGATGACCACATACTCATCATGAGCGAGCCCAGCCAAGACCAGTAGAACTGCTCGGCTGAGCCCAACTGAAATTGCTGACCCAAGGAATTGTGAACCTAATTAAAGGTAGTTGTGTTAAGCCAGTAGCTTAGTAGTTTACAGGTAGTTGTTACGCAAAAAAGTAACTAATATTGGGTTAAATTAGTTACATTTGTTGGAGTTACAAGTGGCCACATAAGTTGAAGATCATAACTAATGTAGGGGTCAAGAGGCATAACTGGTCTCATTGTAATTAGGCTATAAGAGATCTTTTGCTCTCAAAGTTCTGCTCAGATACAATAATGTGTATTTTATGCTAAATTTCTTGTTCTTTCTTTTTTCTTTTCCTTGTGTGTGTGTGTGTGTGTGTGTGTGTGTGTGTGTGTGTGTTGCCCAGGCAGTAGTGCAGTGGTAGGATCATGGCTCACTGCAGACACAATCTCCCAGGCTCAAGTGATACTCCTGCCTTAGCCTCCCTAGTAGCTGGGACTACAAGCACACATCACCAGGCCTGGCTAATTTTTTTATCTTTTGTAGAGATGGGGTTTCTCCATGTTGCCCAGGCTGGTCTTGAACTTCTGGGCTCAAGGCCACCCACCTCGGCCTCCCAAAGTGGGGATTATAGGCCTCAGCCATCGTATCCAGCCTCAATAACTTATTTACGACATGATGACATGAAAATTGACACATCTTTCTCTCAATAGGTAGCAAAATAAGAATAAATAAATAACACCATCACTGCTCTCTGAATGCTTGTCTGGACAACACTCAGTGACTGTTTTCTCTTGCCCTAATACTAGGCTGTAATTTAAATATGTTATAGTTTGTCTTCATTTCTTTGGTGAAATCATGAGGAAATAGTCTGCAGCTCAAATATTTTTTATTTGAAAACATCATTTTTCAAAACCTTTATTGGCTTTAGTTCTGACCCACAAGTAATTGGGCAAACTCACTTTTAGAGTATTATGACTTTCGTGCAAGAAGAACTGTGATAGCCATAAATTATTAGCTTTTGGCTATAACTGTTAAAAATCTAGAACTAGAACCTAAGGAATTTATTTTAGAATTTATTTTAGAATAAATTCCTTCTGGATGAACCCATTCCTTTTCTCAAAGAACACTGATCTGGGAGACCAGGAGGATAAGGGAGTTAGGAGCAAAAAAGTTTTCACAGCATCTTATGCCTTCCTTAAGTCTCTAAGCATAGAACTTCTTGCCTTGTAGTCATTTCTCTTTCCTGTTTCCTGTAGGGTAAGGACATGATAGTTTGCCTCAGGGCCACTGGCCCCAGAGCCTTCCTTCTCTCTCCGCCCACAAGGCTCTCACAATCTCATGATCAGAGGAATCAGGACGCACTATATACTCTTGCTGATATTTTCTTTGTGTAAATCTAGTCATTTTTATTTTTACTAGAATTTATATTATTGACCAGCCCGCATCATTGGTCCTTGTATACCTTTGATGTAAGAAAGATCCAGCATACTATTTGAAGCTTGTATCTTTGCAGACCAGGTAAGATATGTACACAGTTTCCTATAAGCGTGGGGCAGCAATTTGAAAGTTTAAATCTAAAAAATATGTTTGACCAAAGGTGCAGCAATGTGTTGATAGCCATTCCTGTCCACAGAGATTGTTGAGTCATTTTGTGCTGTATTATTGTAAAATGATGTTTCTCTGGTATATCAGGAAGCTTTTTTTTTTTTTCAGATGGGTCTCACTCTGTTGCCCAGGCTGGAGTGCAGTGGAGCTAACTCTGCACACTACAACCCCTGTCTTCCAGGCTTAATCCTCCCACCTCAGCCTTCCAAGTAGCTGGAATTACAGGCACACGCTGCCATGCCTGGTTAATATTTTGTATTTTTGGAAGAGATGGGGTTTCACCATGTTGTCCAGGCTGGTCTCAAACTCCTGAGCACAAGTGATCTGCTCGCCTCGGCCTCTCAAAGTGCTGGGATTACAGGCGTGGCCAGGAAGCTTTTAAGAGAGAACAATTTTGTTCATGATTCTATATGGAGAAATAAATGCTATGGAGAGGGGCTTTAATTGGAATTAGGGTCGCTATTCTGAACTTGACATTCACTACAGAGTCCAGGCTGTGTTAATGGACTTCCTCAGTTAGTTGGTGCCCAGGTATTAAGCACTTTCTCGTATTAAACATTTCCTTATTTACATAATAGTCAACCTGCACTACCATATAAATAATGGTTTTATTGAACATTCCTACATTCCTTTTTTTTTTTTTTTTTTTGAGACAGAGTCTCGCTCTGTCGCCCAGGCTAAAGTGCAATGGCGTGATCTCGGCTCACTGCAACCTCTGCCTCCTGGGTTCTAAGTGATTCTTCTGCCTCACCCTTCCGAGTAGCTGGGATTACAGGCATGCACCACCATGCCCGGCTAATTTTTGTATTTTCAGTAGAAATGGGGTTTCACCATGTTGGCCAGGCTGGTCTCGAACTCCTGACCTCAGGTGATCCTCCTGCTTTGGCCTCCTAAAGTGCTGGGATTACAGGCATGAGCCATTGTGCCTGGCCAGTTTTATTGAACATTTCTATGCCAGACTGTTCTAAGAGTTTTGTATACATTACTTCCTAAGGTGGGAAATGGAATCCCTAAAGGACTTGAATTCCACTCATTTTAATTTTTAAAAATTCTTTGACCAAAAAAAAGTATTCAAAGTTCTTCAAAGATCGTTTTGTCACAAAGAGCAAATATATGAATTAAGGAAGTACTGAAAAACAAACAAGTACTATGAATGTGTTTCTGTTAAAGCAATCAATTGACTTATGGTACAACTAAGTAAGAAAGCATGACATGGGGTAATACAGGCAGCCATGTAAGAAGGGAATTGTTGCCAACAGCAAGGTGCAACCTTGAAAGAACAGAGATGGAAATCATAATGAGATCACTGCAACATACAATGATGTAGCCATGAAGATGAGTTTAAAAGCAAGTGGCTACACAAATGCTGGCACTAACATGTGTCTTTTCTTATCAGACATATGTTACCAAACACTGCGTAAGTTCCAGGAATGGTGAAATCAACACTGGTCATGTGCCCAGGAGGAGGTAGGATTTTGAATGAGAAAGTGTAATAGTTATCTACTGCTTCATAACAAATTACCCCCAAATTTAGCAAATGAAAAAATAAAAATGTACATCTAAATAGTTTCTGGGGGTCAGGCACCCAGGAGCAGCTTAGCCACATGGTTCTGACTCCTGGGGCGGCAGTCAAGATGTCAGCTAGGGTTGCGGTCTTCTGAAAGTTTGACTGACGCTGAAGAATCCATTTCCAGACAACCATGTGGTTATTACAGATGGCTTCAGTTCCTCACTTTTCATTTTTGTAACCCAGTCTAGGAAGTAATACATAATCACTTCTGTTGTATGCTACTGGTCAAACAGACCAACTCTAGTATGATGTGAGAGGGGACTCACAAGGGTGTGAATATTAGGGGCTGGAATGATTGAGGCCATCTTGGAACTGGCTACCACTGGAAGTTTGTTAGTAGTTTGTTCCTTTAGAAAAAGTCATTTGGCCCAGCCAGTTAATGAATCAGCATCTGCAGATACATCTATGTCCTTGTGGGTTATACAAATAATAAATACAGAAACATGGAGCTAAAAGAGCTATAGAGATGATCTAACCCAAGTCTTCATTTTCTTTTAAGATTCATCAGAAAGGAGCAAGGAAAATAAAGCCCAAAATATATAAATGACTTGTTTAAACCACCCTCTCCCCGATCAAGAGCTGATTCAGAATTTCACTTTAGACCTATCAGCAACTTTTTACAGAATATTTGAATCTACAGTCTTTTGTTTATGGTTACCTTAATGATAAATCAGAAGAACCCAAATGTTGAGTTAAATTTAATTTTTACAGGTCAGCCAGTATTCACTCAAGTAAATGTTCTTTATTTTATTTGCTAAAAAATATATGTATTGAATGTTATCTCGTGCCAAATGCATGTTAGATAATGGGTATACTATTTACCATAAGGGAAAAAAAAATCCCTTTCCTTGTCAGTCCTGCAGCCTAGCCTACTGGAGGGAGGAGATATATTTACCAAGCACTGAAATAGGCACTTCGTGGAACACAAAAATGAGGAAAATATTATTCTTGTTCTAAAGGAGCTTAAAATCTAATACAATTAATTTTAGAATTATACATGCCAGATGCTAATTGCCATAATTTGTCTTTTCTTATGACTGGTCTTTTGGCACTGGTGAGGAGCTAAAAGGCTCTGGAGCCATGTTGGTGGCAGCTGGATTTGCTGCTGGCAGTCAGACTGGGTCCATGTTGCTTTAATGGGTGTACATTTTTAATGTTTCTGTAACATAGTCTTGTTATACATGACTTGGAATATATGCATGGAAGAGAAAAAATGATAAACAGGGTGCTTGTAGTTAAGAATCTCTAATTTCATGCTTTGTTAGGCTGCTTAAGGAATGCTAAATGATGACGATTGTCGCAATGACCAGTAGCTTATGGTAGCATCATATCTCCTTAGGAAATGGGCTTTTAAAATAGAGTTAGCATCAGGTTCAAGGTCTGTATGGCACCACAGATGATGGATTTTTTCCCAAGGACAAAGGGTGGCCAATTTTTCCTTCCAGCTCCATGGTTATTGTAGCTTTATCAGTCAAAAAATGTTTGTATCCAGGAACTAAACTATAAATTTTTAGAAGCTGATGTTTTTGAGATAAACTGCTTCTCAGCAATGTCTACTTCAGAAACATTTTGGATGGAAAAGTTCTTTCTGGATGACTTCTGTGAACCTCATCCTGTCTACTAATAAAACTCTTATGACTTTTCTCTCTGATTGCCCTATACATATTGGCTCCTAATTACCTGTGATTTGGGTTGGTGTTGTATGTACAATGTGTCCTCTACTTATTCATCTGCACCAGTTCTGACTCTCCCAGTGAGCAGCCAATTGGAGGATGAAGTGGAGCCAGAGATGAACCATCCAGTTTAATTTTTCTGCACAGTACACAGCAAAGCATTACATACAAGAGGACACATAATAAACATTCTTTGATAAAGATAAGAACTGTTGCTAGCAGAGTTTCCAAGTTCAGTATAAGTTGGACTTGTTTTTTTCTTTTCTAAGATAAGCTTGAATTTAAGCCTTTACTTTAAAAAGTTATTTAGTATTACAAAGTACCACAAAGGTAAAAAGAAGATATGATGGACACAAAGGATCTGAGTGTATTATGGTGATAAGGGAATGGGCTTTGGGATTAGAGCAGTTTTTATTCATTCATCTAACAAATACTTATTGAGAACGTACACATACTAATGAAGAAAACTAACAAAAAGTCCTACCATTTTTAAACTTGCATTCTAGTAAGTCAAATGTGTGGTATGTCAGATAGTGATAAGTGCTATGGAGAAAAATAAAGTGAGGAAGAAGTGAGGAAGAGAGGTGGGTGGGGTGCAATTTTAATAGGGTGGTTAGGGAAGGCCTCACTGAGAAGGTGACATTTGAGCAAATACATGGTGGAGATGAGAAACGGAGTGGAGTTCTGTGGATATGGGAGAAGAGTGTTTACGCAGAGGGAACAGCTGGGACAAAGGTCCTGAAACAGGACCAGCAAGCCAGCCAGCATGGCTGGAGAGAAGACCTGAGTTTAAATCTAGTCCTGCTTCACAATTGACCTCACCTCCTTGAGCCTCCTTAGTTCCCTCTGAAAAAGTAGAGATGAGGAGGCCTAGACAGTTTGCAGGACTGCTGGGAAGATCAAATGAAATACTAAAGGTAAAGGTCCTAGCAAGTTCTAGATGTCCACATTAGAGCAGTCATTAAAATGTAAAGGATATCCTATAGCACTGATACTGCCTGTTTCTTTCTAGAAAATGAAGGAAATAACCCCATTTTCTCAGGAGGAGTAAATGCAATAATACCTGCAAGGTACTTAGCCCAGAGGCTGACACATGGTAGACTCATAACTAATGGCAGTTCCCATTACCATCAAATGCTTCAGTGAAGCATTCGTTATTATAGAATAGACAAAATTAGGAGAGCAACTCCGAGTCACTAATCAATAGAGCTAGACAGAAAACAGGAGTTAGGTTAAGAGCCCAGAGGCACCAGCAAATACAAAAGCAATGGATTTAACAATCAAGGAGGGGTGAGGATGAATTGCATCCAGATTTGACTCAAGCCCAGGGCAGGCATTGCGGGTAATCTGATTTATGTGGAGAGGTTAGAGTGGGAGAGACAGCAGAACGGGGGTAAAAACTAGGTGACCTTGAAGCTTTAGTATAAGGAAGGAAATATACCTAATAGGTATCACAGAGCTGAATGAGTAGAATCATCATAGCGCACTTGGCCACAGATGGGTATAACTTATCAAAAGAAACAGGCTGGAGTGGAGAGGAAAGAGATAAATGCTGTATGTCGAGAAGATATCCACATATGTGGAAACCCATAACTGTTAGGTGGGAGTGCAGTGGAGAGCATTTGGCTAAGGATAAAAGTAGACAGAACGCATAAATGACATAGTTGTGGGAGGATGCTAAAGGCAGTTCCATTAGAAGTAGGAAACAGAGGTTGTATTCCCCAATCAGACAACAAATGCTGTCCGAGCTAGCCAGAAAATTTCTAGATCCCAGGTTCAATTAAGAGCAATGCATCCAATAAAGCCTTGGAAGTCAAAATATCATGGTGGTTAACTTAGTGGACCATAAAGGTGAACAGTTCTAGTTTCAGATGTGTTGTGACCTTGGATAAATTTACCTCTATAAGCCTTGATTTCCTAGCAAGTAAAATAAGGATAATAAATAAAGTTCTTGTGAGGACAATAAATGAGAAGCCTTTTGAAAATGAGTAAGCATTTTTCTAGAATGTCATTTTCTGCTTAATATAGAAATGACAAGGGGAGTTGTTATTTTGGACTTAATTTTAACTAAAAAGAAAAATTTGTGGACTGAGTTGGGAACTTCAGAAGAAAGACAGAAAAGAACAAAGCCATCAAATACGTTAGAATACTGGATAAGGAGTGGGGCATGCACTGTCTGAGCCTTGGATCAGAATGTTCCACTCCATTCCACCAGGACTCCTTCAAAGCACAACTTGACAAGAACATTGTTTTTCCTCTTTCAGCCAGACCACCCAGACTGCCACACTTTTCTTACCTCTTTGAAACATTTTCTTCCTTTTGTCTTTCAGTTTGACATGTGTAAACATTAATTATTTTTTCCTTTAAGTGGTTCTGAAAGTGCTGAAGTCAGAGTCTGGAGCACTCAAGCTGTCTCCTATTTTACTCCTAAGTACATCTCTTCTCTTCTTACCCTTTTCCTTTCTCCTCTCTCTTTTCCCTTTTTCCCCATCCAGACTCATCCCAAACTCAAATTCCAAATATATGGACTGAAAGTAAAGGGCTGAGAGAGCTCAAAATTGGTAGATTAGGGTCAGTGGGGTTGAAGATACAGGTGACAGCCATTGCAACCTCTTTGTTACTCACCCCAGTTCTACCTTGGGGTAAACCCGTATCTATTCCTGCCTTTATCCTCAATGAAGAATCCTGATTGTGTTCAGGGCTGCAATGTGCCCAGCCCTAAGTAATGAATCATGATTGGGCACAACAAATCATTACAAACCTGCTCCTTTCCCTATTCTCCTTTGCTGCTACAGATGAGATGGTAGATATCACTCATGCCCACCATGTTCTTCTCTTCCTGGGCATAATTTCCTTGAAGTTAGGTGTGGCAAGGTGCCTTGTTCTGGCTAATGAAATATGAGTGGAAAGTTTGCCTGTCACTTCTAGATGGAGGTATGTAAGGGTTGGGGCACCATACTCCATGCTCTCTTTCCCTGCCCCCATAATCCAAGCAAAATAACCTTAGCCCTATCCCACTGTTGTAGCTAGTAACACAGCACCCTAACACGTAGTGGCCTAAAACAACCACTATCTCATACTTCTATGGATTGATGGGGGTCAGCCAGGAGGTCTTCTGCTGATCTCTTTTGGAGTCTCATGCAGGTGCAATGAGATTATGGTCTTTGTTTGCACTGCAATAACAAAATACCTGAGACTGGGTACTTTATAAAGAACAGAAATATATTTTCTCACAGTTCTGGAAGCTGGGAAGTCCAAGATCCAGGTGTTGGCATAATTGGTGTCTGGTAAGAACCCAGTTTCTGTTTCCAAGATGGTTCCTTGTTCCTGCATCCTCCAGAGAGGAGGACCAATATGTCCTCACCTGGTAGAAGATAGAAGAGCAAAAGAGTCTAATACTGCATGAAGCCTCTTTTATAAGAGCCTTAATTACATTCATGTAGGAAGAAGCCCTCATGACCTAATCACTTACTAAAGGACCCACCTCTCAATACGATCACATTGGTTATTAGGTTTCAACCCCTGGATTTTGGAGGGGACACATTCAAACCATAGCAGGCTGCAATAACCAATGGTTCATTCACATGTCTGGCACCTTGGCAAGGATGGATTGAAGGCTGGATTTGTATGGGTTACTCTTTTTCTCTATGTCATCTGTAGGACAGGAAAAATAATTTTTCCTCTATCCTTCATGGTTCTTAGTTGAGACAGACCCCTGTAACAAAAGACAGATTAACAAGAGAAAAAATAGTAGAAGTTTGTTTTGTAGAAGGTGTGTGTGTGTGTGTGTGTGTATGTGTGTGTGAAGGGGGCAGCAATGAGGAGATGCCCAGGAAAAGCATAGTAAACAAGGGTTAGGTTTGTTATGCAGATTTAAGTTGGTGCCTTCTCCATTGGGTTTCTAGTGATTCCGAGTCATCCTTCTCTTCATGGTACAGAGGCAGACACCCTTTCATATTACGAATTGGTCTTCTGGTTCCTTCTCATTTGGGTAGACTCTGTTAGAGGGAAGGTCTAGGGCTGAAGGCTGTTGTTCAGATTCTTTTGTCCCACAGGGTGTTCCCTTGATGTAGTACTCTTCCCCTTTTCCTCTGGATGTGGCTTCCTGGAAGCCAAGCTCTAGTGATTGTTATCTCTCTTCTGGATCTAGCCACCCAGCAAGTCTACCAGGCTCCGGGGCCGACAGGGTGCAGGGAAGGTTGTCTGCACAGAGTCCTGTGATGTGAACTGTCTGTGGGTCTCTCAGCTGTAAATAACAGCACAGTATTTGGGATGTCTCCTGGGTCCCACAGGAGCAGTCCGCTTCCTTCAGAGGGTCTGTGGGTCCTCCAGGTTTCCTGATTCATTCCTGCAGTCATTCTGGAGCAAAAATTCTTGACGTGAGCCTCCACATGCTGCTCTGTCCATTCGAGTCAGAGCTGCAATCTAGTTCTGCCTTCCATCACCATGATCCCTCTGGAGACACCCTTTCAAATGGAGATTTTGTTTAGAGAGGTAAATTTTTCTTACACAGGGGTACTTTTACCCTTATTTTCAGAGCTTCCCCTGTGTCCACAGTTTCTCAAAATAATCAGCTCAAAATAATCCTCATGCCAAAGAAGCACATCTGTGGTGGCATTTTTGCCTCCTCCAGTCATATTTTGGAGCATTGTGTCCTGAACCCCATCCCCGCTCAGAGCCTCACACTGTCACCTGGCCTCTATGTGGTTTTTCATGTGTTCTTTCTAGAACCATAGCCACGAGGTGACACAGGGTTCTACAAAGCAGAAGGTGCCAGACCTCTCAAGGCTTAGGCCCAGTATTGGCCCAGCATTACTCCACCACATTCTCTTGGTTAGAGCAGTCACAGGGCCAGACTAGATTCAAGACTGTGGAAAATAAACACCCCTTCTCAATGTGGGGAGTGACAAAGAATTTGGGTCCATTTTGAATCTACCACACTCACATTTAACATGAGAAAATTATATCTCCTTCATATAGACCTGGAAGGACCCAGATCTGGATTGGTGTCGGGGAAGACACCCGTACTAGTCGTTGCCTGTCAGCTCTCACTCCAGACTCCTGCTCCCAGATTCTTCTCAGTGGCCTCTGGTCATTTTATCACAAAATCTCCATTTCCTTCTGGTCTACTTCATCCCCAAACAGGACCATAGTTGTACCCTTATGCTCCACAGTAGTGCTGCCACAGGGTGACAATGGAGAGTCAGCAGTGGGGAGTCAGACATCAGACACCCCAATTCCTGTAGTCTAGTCTTCACTCCCATGAAGACTGACCTGTTGGTAGTCGTCCTCTCCCTCAGGCCTGCTCTCCCACCAAATTGTTAAGGATTCCCCTGTTAAAGAAAATTTAAATGGGAGGCCATTATGCTGAGATGGCTCCAGTGCCTTTGGTTGCTACTAAACAAACCAAAACCCAAGTTGATGAAAACAATAAAATGAAATGTAAGTCTAACCAATTAGAAACCACCAACTAACCTCTAACTAGGGACTTTAAGGCTACTGTTCTAGTTTAATCAATAAAATAGATAAAAGCCCCCCTGCCATCTGCTTCTTGCACTTTCCCCCTAGGCCCCTTCAGTGGAGCCCAAACCACTTGCAATTTGGTGCTGCCCAATTCATGAATTGCTGTTTGCTCAAATGAATTCTTTAACATTGTAACATGCCTAAGTTTATCTTTTAACATCCCTCACTCCCCAGATTTTCATTTCCCATTTCCTCTTTTATATAAGTTCCACTTTTTGTATCTATCCAGATGAGGATAGAAGTTGTTTTACATTAAAAAAATTTCCTTACCCCAGGAGGAAGCACTTCAACTTTATGATGCCGAACGTTGTCCGATCCTCCTGAATGCACAATATTGTCTGTGGGCCTTGCCTTTCACAGCTAAAAGGCTCATTAATGAGTGAAATGGAAATAACAAGGATTGATTTTGTGCTTTTTACAATTAATATGATAACTTCCACTTTTATCTTTTATCATTTTATACATGGCCTCTTCTCTGTTCTCCCAGAGGTATCTGCTTGCCTTTGGGAGAATTAGGTTTGTAGCAGGAGGAAATGCAAAGAGGAGGGAGAAATCAATATCCTGCTTTTGACTTCCAGCTGTTGGAAACTAAATAACTGTCTTAAAGTTACATGTCTTTGTACCTTTGAGTTTTAGTGTGTGTTCAGTTTGCAACTTCATTCCTCATGTATTCCTAAAAAAAAGAATTGAACAGATTTTCTATGGAGAGGAGTTTTATAGCTCCTCAGGATGCAGAAACTGCTGTCATTAATTTTTAAAGCAAAAACAACCAAAAAAATTATTCCCTCTAAATTCTCCCTTTCTTTGATGCTTTGTTTAGAAAGACCCAGAACTGATAAAACACAAAACTGAGATATTACTAAGTAACTTCTAACATCTACCCTCTGAAGAATGTGACTCTTGGTAGCTCCAGTCACCTTTCCATGTGGTTTGTTGCTTGTCCAAAGGAGGCTGTCAGAAGCTCTCCCTAACCACACTGTGAAGAGTGGCTCAGACATCTCAGAAACCACATCCTAGCTGCCCCCTATTCTGTGATCTTTTCTGGGTTTCCATCTGTCTCAGGGTCAGGTAACTGTCCTGCTGAATTTCTAAAAAATAAAATTCTTCTTCCTCTTAGTTCAACAGAGATAAAACTGGAATTTTTCTAGAGGTATTTGCAGAAAGAAACTAAGAAATAATACTTAAAAAAAACACACCAAAGTATAAAAACCAATAATTTTTTGGAGTACAGATGTATTACAGTAAATGGAAGCAAAGCAAAACAAAACACCTAGCAAAGATTGCCTCAGATGCCTCGATTTTAGGGCATTCAGCTACAGTTTCATTTTCCCCTTTTACATCATGCCAGGGGAATTGTGTCCCAGATTCAGAAATATCTCTTCTTCCTTTAATAAGTGGTTTTCTACTCGGGAGGGCAATTCTGCCCCCCAGGGGACATGTGGCAATGTTTGGAGACACTTTAGGTTGTCACAACTTGGGGGAGGTGGTGCTACTGGCATTTAGTAGGTAGAGGTCAGAGACACTGCTAAACATCCTGCAATGCACAGGACAGACACCCACAACAAAGAATTATCCTGTCTAAAATGACAATTGTGCTGAGACTGAGAAGCCCTGCTTTAGGAAGAGCTATGTAGAATAATACCACTTCAAGAATCATATTCATTTGAAACACCCAAGACTACATTTTAAAAAAGAAATCATATTCAATAATTAACTGGTATGGTCAAAGGACAGCTCTCAGTGGGAAAGAGAAACAATCATAATTCTATATTAATTAATCCTTCCATTACATCTATCAAATATTTATTGGCATCCACTATGTGCATGGAACTGTCAGGCAATACAAAAGATAGACATTACTTGCCCTTACCGAGCTATGCACAAGGGCAAAAGAAAGTCATTAAACATAAAATTATATAAATGTGTTATTTAATTATAATTGTAATAAATGCCATAAGCAAAAAATATAAACTGATAGAAGAATGTATTGTGAAGGGAAAACCAATTCCTCCAAATCAATAGAACTTTATAGTTTCTAAAAATTAAAAATTCAGTGGGGAAAAAAATCCTTAATATTTTATTCCCTTAAACATTTATCATGATGGTTTTCAATGACATAGCGTCCTTAGTCTTCCTTAGTTTTCCTAAGGAGTACTGTGACTGTTTTTGTTTTCAAAATGTCCATTTTAATCTCTTTTTCAAATGTAATAGCCTATCAAAATTTATTTGCTGCTAAGCACAAGCCTTCCCTTCCCTGTGGATGCCAAAGTGATTCTGAGCAGGGATGGGATTGGAGGGAAATATTGGAGTGTTCCAGAGTCAAGAGCAAAGTGTGATAGTCCCCAAGTCCCCAGCTTCTAGCTGGTGATCCAGTTCACTTTCCTGCATGGAGATCTTCAGTAAAAAACCAGACCAATATTTCAAAATTTGAGTTTGTGGTCTTTTCCCAGGGTTGTTGATCAGGGAAGTCTTTTACTCAGGAAGAAATATTTATTTAAGCTGATACCTGAAGGATGAATTAAGAAAAGTTGGAGGGGATGGGACAAGCTATTCCAAGAATAAGAAGGTCTATTAGATACATGTTGGCATATCAAAATAATTCTTAGACACAGAAAAGATGCTCAGTAAGGTCCTTTGCTCCCTTATTCTTGAGGGCAAAATTCATTTCCTCAGAGAGGTAAAGACCTTGCTTTTGTACTTGATCCTAGACATGTACCTCTACTTAGCGGGAAAGACATGGTGACAGAATTTGTCTTACAGTGACTTACTGAACCCTAAGCCCTGATCAGCCATCCTGAAAATTTATGACAATACACAAATGCATGCAAATAAACAGTGGACATTCTCTACTGAGAATGTCCAGCACTATGCAGCAAATGTTTATGCAGACTTGGCTGAGTGCCACGCCACAGCTGGCTTTCATTTCTGTTTTGAGGTCAAAGATTCCAGGGAGAATCTGATGAAAGCTATGGAAATCTCCCCTGAAAAAGGCATAAGCCCACATATACTAAAGTTTTTACACAGTTTCATAGGGTTTTCAATTTCAAAGCTAATTTATCTCAGGTTAACACAGCTGCTGTCAAGATATAACAATGAATAAAAAAGACAGGTTCCTGGTGAAAGGTATTTTGTCCTGTTTTGGACATAATGAGGTTGAGGTGCATGTGACAGGATATTCATGTGGAAGTGTCCAAGGAGTAGTTTAAAATGCTTCCTGGTTTTGTATAATTTTATAGGTATGTTTAAATCAAGAGGAATGAGTGGATATGTATCAGTACAATGAGCCCTATGCCTTGAATCCAGGGTCTCCAGTGACCATATTTTAAAACAATTATTTTCTTAGAAACACGTTCATATAAAAAATTTTTCTGACTTTCTGCCTATTTGAAATATGACCCAACCTTTGCATTTCTTAGGTCATTTTCATAATCACTCCCTTATAGGAGCCTGATTAAAGAAAAGGACAACCATGTAATGTCTGGGCAGCCAGTCTATATGGATGGGCTGAAACACTGTATGTGGTTGAAATATTTGGTAAACTGAGCCAACTGTCTTTGCTCTCTTACCCTGCTCAAAGGGGCTTGCTTCACTGCCCTCTGAGGAAGTTGAGTCTGAGCTGCACTGCTTTTGTCTTTTGTTCTTGTTGGTGGTGGTGAGTATAAAGTTTGGGGGCTGTCATGGGATGAAAAAATGGTCCTCTAAAAGATAGGCACATCCTAATCCCTATAACCTGGGAATGTTACCTTATATGGCCAAAGGAAAAAAAAAAGTCTTTAGCCTTTAACTGGGTGGGCCTTCCCGGCCATTGTTACTACCTGACAGGGTTCTTGTCCACTGCACAGATAAAGCCAAACACTGAGACAGCAGGTGTTGTAGTAAAGAAAGAGTTTAATTATCACAAGACAACTGAGCAAGGAGGATGGAAGATATTTCTCAAAGCCATCTCCTCAAGAATTCAGAGGCTAGAATTTTTAAGGATGGATTGGCAGGCAGGGGGCTAGGGAATGGGTGCTGCTGATGTGCTGGGGATGAAATTGAAACTGTCTTCATGCATTGAGTCAGTTCAGGAAGGCAGGGGAGTAACAGGACCAATCAAATCACTTCCTTGGTTGGGGTCAAGGGCAACTGGTCCAGTTGGTATCAGTTGGTCCACTTGTATGCAAAGTCTGAAAAATATCTTGAAGACCAGTCTTAGGTTTCACAATAGCGTTTGTGACTGCCAGTTACTATAGAAAATCAAGCTAGGAAACAATGGTGGGATATCATTTAACTATCCCTATACCTTAGCAGAAAGGTTTTCAGGAGATGAGATACCCAGTGGTCAAAGCTGCTCAACCCCTCAGCCAATTCAGCTTTTGGAAGTCATTGAGGTGGTCTGCATGAGCTAAGGATCATTGTTCTTTAAGTGAAAAACAAGTTCATTAATATTGCAGACGTCCTGGCTGGGGGCTAGGATAGGAAGATAATCAATTATTAGTGACTATTGTTTATTGAAATGTTTATGTGCAAGCAATAATGTATGAAGGAGGAAAATGTCAGAGAGAAAGAAAAATATCTTAACAAAATTCGGGGCCCTACCATAATTTTAATTTGTGGCTTTTTATTAATTTTATGAAGGCAGTTTCTCCATCACATATACCCTTACAAGAGGGAGGCAGAGGGAGATTTGACATAATCAGAAGAGGGGAAGGCAGAAGAGGAGAATGTAGTGTGACCTTAGAGGCAGAAATTGGAGTAATGTGGCCCCAAGTCAAAAAACACCAACAGCCACTAAAGCTGGAAGATCCAAGGAAAGATTCTCCCCTATAGCTTCCAAAGGGAGCACAACCCTGTAGACACCTTGATTTCAGCCCAGTGATATTTATTTTGGACTTTTGGACTCCAGAACCATGAGAGAATAAAGGAATAAATTTCTATTGTCTTAAAGCATCAAGTTTGTGGTAATTTGTTATAGCAGCCATAGGAAATTAATATAGGAACTAAACTAGACAGTCAAAGAGAGGATGAACTGTGTAGATCAGAGCCTATCTATTTGTCTCAGATTTTTGGTGAAGGGTTCTATCTCACTTTCCATTTCAACCCCAAATACTTCTTTCTGAATTCAAACAAATCTTCTTCTCTCACATTGACACTTGTGTTTTAAAGCTCCACTGCCCTATACAGACCAAATAACTGATTTTTGTTTACTGGTACAAAATTTTGTTTTCTTTTTTACTACATTGTGCATTTTTCCCCCTACCTCTGAATAATCATTTATTGTTTTGGAAGAATCCATCTCTCTCTGTGTCTCTCTCCCCTCCCCACTCCCATTGTTCTTGATCTTAAAATAAAAGTTACATAAAATAAACAGCTCCTTCTTTCTTTTCTTGTCATTTCCTCCACTCAGCAGTGTAGAGCTGCAAGGCTGCTTGCCCGAGTGTTTGAAGCCACCCGCACACTTTGAAGCATACTCCACGGCAGCTGACAGCTCAGTGCAATCAAATGCCAGTCACAAATGCGTCTATCATTAGTTCCACAAATCCACTATGAAAATGGGTCTGTAGGATGTAAGAAGAAAAAGAAAAGGATATTTCGTGACTGGAATTTTTTTAAACTGAGAAATAGGAAATAAAGTGGGTCAGATGATTATTTTAAGATAACCAGTGGTGAAAATAGGAACTCAAAGCAAATCTATATCAGAGAATTTGGGAAATCAAAACAAGCCATCAGAAATTCTTTTGCATGAAGACTTCTTAATGCTTCAGGGAGAAATGGTAAAACCATCCCCACAGGGTTGATAAAAATTGCATACCAGTTTCTGGACAGAAATATAGTTATACTTAAGCATTAGTCAGGCTGTACTCTGGCCCACTTCCTTGTTACTAAAAGTCACCATACCACTAGATACTGACCATTTGAATGCCCATTGTTTCTATAGGTAGGATTTCTGACATTAGGGTCTTAAGACTGTTTAAGAATTGATTTCATCCCTGTTATTCCTATAGACAGGCTCTCTGACATTAGAATCATAAGGCTTTTATTTAAGGATTGCTTAAGATGTTTTTCAGACCCCGAATTCCAGTAGCCAGTTTGAAGACCCCCACAGAGGAATGGGATCAGCATGAGAATATAGCTTCTTCATCTCCCTGTCCCATGACTTCACCCTGCACTCGTTGACCAAATAATGATTTTGGCTCACTCCAAAACCCTTAAAAACCCTAGTCCCAAACTCCTCTGGGAGATGAATTTGAGGTTCTTTCTCACCTCCTTGTTCTGTGGCCCTGAGATTAAACCTCTTTCTCTGCTGGTGTCACAGTATATTGACTTGCCATGTGCATCAGGCAATGAACCTATTATGGTTACAATGGTATACAGAGGACTCTAGGAGGACTGCTAAGAGATGAGCCACCAAGATCTCAGGCTAAAACATTACAATTCAGGGCTGTAACATAGTTTTAGTGCCCAGAGCTCCTAAAACCCTTGCATTTCCTAAGTAATAGAAGTGCTAGGAGCATTTTGTGTTCTAATATTTGGTCTCTGCCCCTGGTTCCTGACATAGAGTTCCTAAATCCATTTACATATCTTAGGTAATAGTAATATCTGTTGTTCTAATGAAGCAACTCTTGGTTGGCTCCTGAATAGCTTCAAGATGAGGGCTGGCCACCAGAAAAACCAAGCCATTATTAGAAGCTTGGAATTTTCAGTCCTACCCCTCATCCTCCAGGAAGGAGAGAGGGGCTAGACACTGAGTTAATAATTGATTGGGCCTATGTGATGAAGCTGTCAGAGGCATTTGAACCAGAGTGACTCCATCTTGAATAGGGAGTGGGTAAAATGAGACTGAGACTTACTGGGCTGCATTCCTAGGAGGTTAGACATTCTAAGTCACAGGATGAAATAGGAGGTCAAGATACAGGTTACAAAGACCTTGCTGATAAAATAGCCTGTGGTAAAGACACCAGCCAAATCCCACCAAAACCAAGATGGTGACGAAGGTGACCTCTGATTGTCCTCACTGCTCACTATATGCTAATTATAATGTATTAGCATGCTAAAAGGCACTCCTACCAGTGCCATGACAGTTTACAGATGCCATGGCAACAACAGGACTTTACCCTATATAGTTTAAAAATGGGAGGAACCCTCAGCTCCAGGAATTGTCCACCCCTTTCCCCAAAAACTCATTAATAATCCACCGCTTGTTTAGCATATAATCAAGAAATAACTGCAAGTATAATCAGTTGAGCAGCCCATGCTACTGTTCTGCCTATTCTTTTTTGTAGCGATTTTTTAATTCCTTTACTTTCTTAATAAACTTCCTTTCCCTTCACTCTATAGACTCACCCTGAATTCTTTCTTGTACAAGGTCCAAGAACCCTCTCTTTGGGTCTGAATGGAGGTCTCTTTCTGGTAACAAAGCCATCAAAAAAATTCCTAAAAGATGGGATACAGAGCGTTTGTAGGTTGGTGAACACATCCATGTGCCAGGAGGGTGGCACACCCTTGATCCGCAGGGATAGAACTCCTGTACTTGGGACCCTTTGGAACCTCCCACTTTGTGCTATTCATCTGGCTGTTCATCTGTATCCTTTATTGTATTCTCTATAACAAACTAGTAAACATAAGTAAGTGTGTCCCTGAGTTCTGTGAAAAATTATACTAAATTATCAAACCAGAAGAAGGAGGTGTGGGAACTCCTGATCTATAGATCAGGTCAAATTGGTCAAAAGTATGAGTGACAACCTGGGACTTGTGACTGGCATCTGAAGTGGGGGGCAGTTTTGTGGGACTGAGCTCTTAACCTGTGAGGTTTGCATTAACTCCAGGTAGTACTGTCATAATTTACTTGTAGGACACCTAGTTGGTGTCAAGAGAGTTGGAGAATTGGTTGGCATGGGGGAAACCCTCACATATATGGTGTCAGAAGTGTTGAGACTGTAGAAGAAAGAGTTTTTCCTTTAAGGGATCAGTAAACTATGGCCTACCACCTGCTTTTGTAAATAAAGTTTTATTGGGAAACAGCCACACCCACTCATTTATATATTGTCAGTGGCTACTTTTGCACTACAACTGCAGAGCTGGGAAATTGTGACAGAGACATGGCACACAAAGCCTAAATATTCACTATTTGGCCCTTTACAAAAAAAGCATGCCAACCCCTATTATAATGAAACTGCAGCAGTAATAACTGGTGTACAGAGTGGGCTCTAACAATAGAAAAACAGCAAAGATGACCAAGTGTACTTGTTTCCTGTGTACCCAAGTTCGAAGCTCGTGCTACTCACTATATGACAGCCAACAAATCAAGAGACCAGGTGTTGGGGCAAGGAAAGTGACCATTTGGAGAGCCAGCAAACCAAGAAGATGGTGGACTAGAGTCCTAAAGATCCATCTTAAGTTAATAGAATTTTAAGCTCTTTTTATGTTAGGGAAAGGGAAAAGAGGGAGAGGCTTGAGGTCAAGAGGTGACTGATGACCACAGACATCTGGGCAGCACTGGAAGTCCAAGGGGAGTTTGTGAAGCTTTTTTGTCCTTGGTCAGGTTACAATGCTCCTATAAATCTTTAACACGACATTGTGACTTGTGTATATACTCTTCTTATCTCCTTGGGGGTTAATTTTGGAATGGGACTACTGTTGTACTTCTTTCAAGTTAAATAAGAAACTAAATTCTTCCCATAGTTAGCTTGGTCTATGTGCAGAGATAAGCAAAAGCAGTTAACCTAAAAGATATCACTGCAGGTGGGGAAGTGGAAGTGGTTAGGAGCAAAATGGAGACAGTCATGCTAGGTTTCCTTTCCACTGCTACACTAGGGCTTCCTTAACAAATTATCACAAACTAGATGGCTTAAAACAACAGAACTTGGGCCGGGCATGGTGGCTCACGCCTGTAATCCTAGCACTTCAGGAGGCCGAGGCAGGTGGATTGCCTGAGCTCAGGAGTTTGAGACTAGCCTGGGCAACACGGTGAAACCCTGTCTCTACAAAAATACAAAAAAAAATTAGCCCAGCGTAGTGGCATGCACCTGTAATCCCAGCTACTTGGGAGGCTGAGGCAGGGGAATCACTTGAACCCGGGAAGCGGAGGTTGCAGTGAGCCAAGATCACACCTTTGCACTCCAGCTTCGGTGACAGAGTGAGACTCTGTCTCAAAAAAAAAAAGAAAAGAAAAGAAAAAAAAAAACCCAGAACTTTATTCTCTCAAACTCTAAGAAGCCAGGAGTCCAAATTTAAGGTGTCAGCAGGATTGGTTCTCTCTGGAGATTCTCAGGAAGAATCAATTCCATGCCTCTCTCCCAGCTTCTGGGGGCTGCCAGCGATGCTTGCAATTCCTTGGTTTGTAGATGCCCCAGTCCAACCTCCACCTTTTCTTCACGTGGTCTTCTTCCCTGTGTCTCTATGTGTCTTCTTCATTGCTCTCTCTTATAAGGACCCGCCATTGAATTATCTCTTATAAGGGCCCACTCTAAATCCAGGATGATCTCATCTTGAGATTTATAACTTAATATATCTATGAGGACGCTTTCTTCAGATAAGAGTACATTCATAGGTATCGGGGTTAGGACTTAGACATATCTTTTGGGGAGAAGCAAATCAACTTATTGCAGCAAGAAAAAAATATATTAGCCATCTTGAGGACAAAGGAGGCAGCTTGAGGGGCTTGGAGATTGTGATGAAGGTTACCCGCTCAGTCTTCAATATGGCCCTTGGAGACAGTGATTATACAAATATTTCATTAACTTTGATATACAGTTTTTATATTTTAAGGAGTATACTAAATCCACAGAGAACACAAAATTTTATTTTATTTTTATGTATGTATGTATTTTTTTTTTGAGACAGAGTTTCACTCTTTTCACCCAGGCTGGAGTGCAATGGCACGATCTTGGCTCACTGCAACCTCTACCTCCCAGGTTCAAGTAATTCTCCTGCCTTGGCCTCCTGAGTAGCTGGGATTACAGGCGTGCGCCACCACACCTGGCTAATTTTTGTATTTTTTTAGAGACAGGGTTTCACCATGTTGGCCAGGCTGATCTCAAACTCCTGATCTCAGGTGATCCACCCTCCTCGGCCTCCCAAAGTGCTGGGATTATAGGCATGAGCCACCACACCCAGCAGAGAACACTAAATTTTAATGTTATACTTCTGTTTTTCACTTTTTTCCTTATTAAATTTTGTGTCATTTACAGTTTTATATTTGACATGTAGAAAATTTAGGGGACTTACGCTGTTGTGGACCTAAAAGTAGCAAAACGAACAAAAGGCTGGAGGTAAAAAGAGGAAGAGAAGCTCAGGGCCAGGCAAATTGGTTCCTGCAAGCTCCATTGGTGACTAAGATGAGAGAAGCATCATACAGTGGGGCTGTGGGATAGCAGCACGAAGTGAATCTAGTGAAGACCTTTCAAGTCTACGCAAATCTCTTGTCAGAACAGTTTTTTTTTTTTTCATCTGTGACTTGAGAACAAGAAGGTGTTGCTGCACTCTGCATGGGTCATCTTGTCCTTTCTTTCATTCTCATTACCAGATTCTGGACTAATGCTGAACAGATGAAACCCAGGGGGAAGAGAATATAGCTCATATTTCTGCTAGGATTTCTGCTTTTCCCCTTCCCTTAAAATATATACCATTGTGCCTAGAATTCACAAGCAAGAGGGGGAAAGAAGCCACAGCCAAGTTGTCACTCTCTGGGAGAAATGTCTGAGTGGAAGTGACAGCTCCCTTGTAGGGGTTGTTCTTGATTGTCACTAAAGCCAAGCTGGGGAGAGAGAGTTGGGGAAATCAGAGCTCTTCTTCCAAGAATGGGAAATGACATTACCTTGAGGATGTGCCAATGGAGCCCCAGAGCATGAGAGAGGTCAGGCAGCCACAGTGGGTGCCAAATTAGGAATCCCTTGTGTTGATTTCTTTCTGCTTGAAATACCTATAGTAGGTTGCATTGTTCTGTGTGAACCTTGTCTGTTACCTCCAGGATCTGGGACAAATACTGTCTCCCTGATCTCTTGTAATTTTTATATATTTCTTCCTTTTTTTTTTGGAGATGGAATCTCACTCTTGTCACCAGGCTGGAGTGCAATGGTGTGATCTCGGCTCACTGTAAACTCCACCTCCCAGGTTCAAGTGATTCTCCTGCCTCGGCCTCCCAAGTAGCTGGGATTACAGACACCCACCACCACGCCTGGCTAAATTTTTTGTATTTTTAGTAGAGACGGGGGTTTCACCATGTTGGCCAGGCTGGTCTCAAACTCCTGACCTCAGGTGATCCACCTTTCTTGGCCTCCCAAAGTGCTGGGATTACAGGCATAAGCCACTGCACCCGGCCAATTTTTAGATATTTTCTAAGGATTCATACCCATAGCACACTGGTTTCTTTATTCTTTCCTCATTCATGACAAAGTTTCCTGCATTCATTAAATATGATTTGCATTTCCTAGGCTTACCAAGCTTAAGTTAAAAAGAAGTTCAAACAATGATTTAAAGAAAAAAAGCCGGGGACGTTGGCTCACTCCTGTAATCCCAGCACTTTGGGAGGCTGAGGCGGGCAGAACATGAGGTCAGGAGTTCGAGACCAGCCTGGCCAATATGGTGAAAACCTGTCTCTACTAAAAATACAAAAATTAGTTGGGCATGGTGGTGTGCGCCTGTAGTCCCAGCTACTCAGGAGGCTGAGGCAGGAAAATCGCTTGAATCCCAGAGGTGGAGGTTGCAGTGAGCTGCGATTGTGCCACTGCACTCCAGCCCGGGTGACAGAGTGAGATTCTGTCTCAACAACAACAAAAAAAAAAAAAAAAAGAGAGAAGAGAAAAGAAAAAGCACTTCACTTCTCTGAATATACCTACTTATTTGACTGAAATGTAGTAACTCTCAAATTTTTTAAATAAAATTTCAGTGTATTATAATTCACAGGTTATTGCACAGGCTTGGGATTCAGATAAACCTGTGTTTACATCTCAGTGCCACCATTTGCCAGCTAAGTAACTAGTTGACTACTCTAAGCCTCCTTTGTCTTCATCTACAAAGTGGGGATAACAGCGTACCTACTGTGAGAAGTTTACATAGCAGGCCCAAGACTACTATTCTCAGAAAGGCCTGATGGCAGGGTTGACCCTTGCCTGGTGTCTGGTAACTTAGATTTGATGAGGGTTCCTACTATTCCCTAAATGATAAGAGAGGCTTATCGTGCCTAGACTGTTTGTAAAACTGCGATTTATGCTGAACACCTGTTTTTTGGTACATGTCTAGCATTTTGGTACATGCTAGACAGAGAGTGCCCACATGACCAGCCCCTGGTGAAAACCCTGTGCACTGAGGCCCTAATGAGCTTCCCTGATAGACAACATTTCACACGTGTTGTCACAATAAGTTGCTGGAGGAATTAAGCACATCCTACCTGACTCAGGACTTTTGAAGCTTGCACCTGGTTTCCTCCAGACTTTACCCCATGTGCTTTTTCTCTTTGCTGATTTTACTTTGTACTCTTTACTGTAATAAATCTTAGCCTTGAGTAAGACTATATCCTGAGTCTTGCGTGTACTTCTAGTGAATCATTGAAATTGGTTTGGTTTGAGGACTCCTGACACTCCAGGCACTCTGTTCATTTATACATTATTTTATTTAATCCTTACCACAACCCATTTAGTTTCTGCTAGGATTTCTGCTTTCTCCCTCCCTTAAAATATGTACCATTGTGCCTAGAATTCACAAGCAAGAGGGGAAAGAACCCAAGTTAAGTTGTCACTCTTTGGGAGAAATGTCTGAGTAGAAGTGACAGCTCCCTTACAGGGATTGTTCTTGATTGTCACTAAAACCAAGCTGGAGAGGGAGAGTCAGGGAAATCAGAGCTCTTCTTCCAAGAATGGGAAATGACATTACCTTGAGGATGTGTCAGTGGAGCTCCAGAGCGTGAAGGAGGTCAGGCAGCCACAGTGGGTGCCAAATTAGCAATCCCTTGTGTTAATTTATTTCTGCTTGAAATATCTACAGTAAGTTGCATTGTTCTGTGTGAACCTTGTCTATTACCCCTGTCTAGCAATAGAGAAGACACAGAGAGACATGGGGAAGAAGACCACGGGAAGACAAGGCAAAGGTTGGACTGATGTGTCCAACCCATTTAGTAAGGTTGTTGTAAGGATTAAATAAAATAATGTATAAGTGAGCAGAGTGCCTGGCACAGAATAAGAACCCAATGTGCATTATTATTATTGTTCACTCAATTACATATTATAGGCTTTTCTGGGACAAGGGCTATAACAATAAGCAGAAAAGAAAATTCTTGCCAGCTTTCATTTCAGTGGGAGAGAAGAAGGAAAAAACAAAGCAAACAGCTAAAATATATAGAATGCAGCCGGGCACAGTGCCTCTCACCTGTAATCCAAGCACTTTGGGAGTCCAAGGTGGGTGGATCACCTGAGGTCAGCAGTTTGAGACCAGCCTGGCCAACATGGCAAAAACTCCATCTCTACTAAAAATACAAACATTAGCTGGGCGTGCTGGTGCACGCTTGTAATCCCAGCTAGTTGAGAAGCTGAGGCATGAGGATTTCTTGAACCCAGGAGGCAGAGGTTGCAGTGAGCTGAGATGGCGCCACTACACTCCAGCCTGGGCGACAGAGTGAGACTGTCTCAAATAAAAAAAAATTATATATATATACATACACACACACACATACACACACACATATATATGCTATATATAAGATTACATGGTGATGAATACTATGGATAAAAATAAAGCCAGGAAGGGGGATACAGGAAGTGTGAATTTTGGGGGCTTTGCAGTTTTAAATAGGACAGCCAGTAAAAATCTCATAGAGAAGGTGATTCTTAGGCAAATACAGAAAGGAAATAATGGAGCAACTAAGCCATGTGGATATCTAATAGGAAATTGATCTAGAAAATGGAACAGTAAATGCAAAGGCCCTGGGCTGTAACACACATGGCCTGTTTAAAGAACATTAAGGAGGTCAGTGTAGCTGGAGAAAAGTAGGTAAGAGGATAGAGGTTAGAGTTCAGAAGGGTAGGCAGGGGAGAGGGGATAAGAATATTCTGTAGGCCCTTGAAGAGCACTGTAGTGACTTGAAGGTCATTCGTGAATTTGCCTTTCCTTGAGAGTGAGATGGAAATCCATTGGAGTGTTTTGAGTAGATGAGTGACTTGGACTGACTTCTGTTTCAATAGAATCACTCTGACTACTGTGCGAGAATAAACTAGAGTGGGGTGAGGGTGGGAGCAGGGAGACCAGTTAGGAGGTTGCTACAACAGTTCAATGAGATGATGGTGCCTTTATCAAGGGTGGTCCAGTACAGCAGGGTATTGAGAAGTGGTCAGATTCTGAGTATGTTTTAAAGGAAATCTATCAGGGTGTACTGGTGAGTTGGGTATGGGGTGCAAGAGAAGGAGGGTCCAGGGTGATTCCAAGGTTTTTGAAGTGTCTGTCTGAGGGGAATTGTTCCTTCTGCTTCTCAACTCATCCATCATTTCCTCCAGGGTTTTTGTTTGTTTGTTTGTTTTTTGAGATGGAGTCTCGCTCTGTCTGGAGCGCAGTGGCGCGATCTTGGCTTACTGTAACCTCCACCTCCCAGGTTCAGCAATTCTTCCTGCCTCAGCCTCCCGACTAGCTGGGATTATAGGAGCCTGCCACCACGCCCAGCTAATTTTTGCATTTTTTAGTAGAGATGGGGTTTTGCCATGTTGGCCAGGCTGGTCTTGAACTCCTGACCTCAGGTGATCTGCCTACCTCGGCCTCCCAAAGTGCTGGGATTACAGGTGTGAAACACTGCGCCCGGCCATTTCCTCCTCCTTTTCCAGGGGCTTGCTGTGTGATGTGTCCTCTCTTTGCTGCCTCCACCAAAAAGACAAAGGTATTAGCAGTGCTCCTGGTCTCCAACAAAGCCTACAGCGGTGCCAGATGTCAAGGACCCTGTTGTGTGAGCTAAAGGTGCTGCCTCCTGCTGTGCCCAAAACAACAGAAACTGCATGAGGATGCTGCATCTGCTCAAAAGCTCTTTTAGTGGATTACTCACTTTTTTTTTCAATCTTCTCTTACTCTAGGGCTCAGATAGGAATCTAAAGTAAAATCTAAATGACAGATCCTGTGTGAGACTCAGAATCACCCCTCCCCTCTGACTTGCTGTTGTCCTTAAATCCAACTTGTCTGCTTCTTTGGTGCCTTAGGATGAGTTCTTTCTACCTTGGGAGTTCCTTGGTCACTTATAAAACTAGACCCCACTAGGCCTCCAGACTTGCCTGAAAACTGGGGAGACAGAGGTGAGGAGGGGGAGGACACTCGTTAGGGACAATCTGGAATCTACTTTACCAGTATTAGATATCTTACCAACTCACTCCCATGGTAGAGAACACTTGGATTATTTTATTGCCACACTATGGTAAATATTTTGGCAACTGCCTTTCTTTTCTTTTTTCTTTTTTTGAGACAGGGACAGGGTCTTGCTGTGTTGCCCAGGCTTGTGTGTCGCCCAGTCACAATCACAGGCACAATCATAGCTAACTGAGCCTCAATTTGCTGGGCTCAAGTGATCCTCAAACCTCAGCCTCCCAAGCCTGCCTAGTTTTTATATTTTTTGCAGAGATGGGGTCTTGCTGTGTTGCCCAGGCTGGCAACTGCCTTTCAGTGACAAAGCACTGGACTGAAGAACATGATATACAATGTTGATTTTCATAACAGTGCTTTTTTAATGACAAAAGAGGTTTGTGACAGTCATGGTTTAAAACTTTCTTTCTTTTATTTTTTAGCATACATAATGGTGATAGATGAGTGAAATTGTATCAGTATTACTCTTCCTTTATGGGATTGTGAGAATTTTCTGGAATAATTATTAAGAAACCATTTCCACTTGTGGCAAGTAAGAAATAGCAAGGAGCACCCCATGTCCTGAAGACTTCAAGGACAAGAATCAACCAAAGACCTGTAAATGTCTGTCCTTGGTCTGATGAGCTGTGGCTTGTGTCACCCATGTTATATACAAGGTGTAATGATAATGGAACAAGACTGGATTTCATCAACCAGAGTAGAAATCAGGGTTATTTAGTTGGTTTAGCAAAGATCTATTCAATTTATGGAGCCATCTCTCTGCTCAGCCTCAGGGCAGTGTCACAGTCAAAGAAATTTTTTAATAATTTACATTCTTTACTTGCATTTCCTGAATACTTTGAAGGAGATACCAAGACCACAAAGGGAGATATGAACATTGCCCATCGTCATCCTCCTCCCCTCTCCTGTACTTCCTCCCTCATTGCAGCAGCTACTGCTTCACATCTTATCAATTTCTAGGAAAACTCTTCTCTGAGGTAGTGTTTCTCTTCTCTTTCCCCTTATCTCCCTGTTCTCCATCAAAAAGATCTAAGATCTACCTTGGGGATGGGGCAGAAAGCCAAATAGAACAACTCAGAATTCTCTTTGGCACAAGAAGAAAGGGAATGACAGGGAACCTCCACACATTAATTCTTTTCCTTCTGACACACATGCAAATTAGTACTGTTTATTTCAAAATAGTGGCCTTGAGGGGCTCCAGCTTTTATACCAATACCTCAAACATCCTGGGATATTCACTTTTGAAACAGTCTCAGAAACGACTGTGACGAAAATCCATTGCATCCTTTTGTGGTCACATTTCACAGAGCATAGCTTCCCCCTGGCACCCCTGTGACTTTCAGGACTTACATCTTTAAGTGTCTCAGCCCTCCATTAATTTGTGCTGAAAGAACTGACAGGCGAGGGACTTCTCAGAAGGCATTGGGGCTACTGGTGACGGTCAATAATGCCCGAAGATCTCTGGCTGTGACATAGGTTGGTACAGGAGATGGATGAAAGAGGAAGGAAGAAAACAAACAAAAAAAACATACATAGAAGAATAAGACAATGGGAGTAAAGAGGGGAAGGCAAAAAAGAATGGCGGAAAGAATTTTAAAAAGAAATACCTGCTGAAAACAGAACAGTTTATGATGCAGATTCTTCAACCTCCTAATGTAGTTAAGCATTTTACTCTGGTTTATCACAGGTTCCCAGCCACCTGGTGAAAGGGACTAGTGAGAAGTGGGGGTGAAGAGAAGGTGGCAGGTAAGAGAGACTGCCCAGGGACACTAGCGTCGGGTTTTGTTATATACCAAGAAGTTGCCCTGTTGATTAAACTCTGCTCAAAGAGAGTTGGAATATGAAGCAAGATACTCAATCTATCAGTAAAGAAATCAACAAGTCTTTTCTTTCCAAAATTTTGATGTCACAAGCCATTATCTGCAGCAGGACATTTGATTATAATAGAATTAATTGTCATATCACAAATAGTGGATTAATGAATGAAAGATTGGACTAAGTGAGTGGAGGGGCCACTATTATCACTGAGAATACAGTTTGATTAATAGAAAGAAAGACTGGGAGCTAGGTACAGTGGCTCACACCTGTAATCCCAGCCCTTTGGGAGGCCGAGGTGGGCAGATCATCTGAGGTCAGGAGTTCAACACCAGCATGGCCAACATGGTGAAACCCCATCTCTACTAAAAATACAAAAATTAGCCAGGCGTGGTAGTGCACGCCTGTGGTCCCAGCTACTCGGGAGGCTGAGGCATGAGAATCGCTTGAACCCAGGAGGCAGAGGTTGCAGTGAGCTGAGATGGTGCTACTGCACTCCAGCCTGGGTGACAGAGTGAGACTCTCGTCTCAAAAGAAAGAAAGAAAGAAGAGAGAGAGAGAGAGAGAGAAAAGGAAGGGGGCAGAGGGGAGGGGAGGAGAGGGAAGGGAGACTGGGAAACAAAAAATCAGAAAGAAAAGACCACTTTAAAGAGAGAGATGGGTAGAAAAAATTGATTTAGAGAACTTAAAAAATACTTTGAAGACAATGTACGTAATGATATAAAAAGGAAAAAACATCAATTTTCTACCCCTTCTAAATGTTACTGATGGAATAGGCAAGAATCACTCCCACATGTGGCTACCACATGGACATTGGTGCGTGTGGGTGTGGGTGTTTTTAAACAATTGAAGTTACCTGAGGTAAGTACCTGGTATTATTTCACACTGGACATTTGCCTTCAGAGTATAAAACAAATTACATGGCTAGTGATGGACCCGGAAGTTACAACTGACTAATTTTCACCTTTAGTTCTAATATGATTTTTAAAACAAAAACATATAGTAAATTTGTATAAAATCTTGGAATTTTTTTCATCTTTTCTTTCTATAACTGACACCCAGGAGCAAGCTGGCGAATTAATTTGAAGTTTTGGCATCTTGTATATTATTATTTGATTTTCTTTTTTCTTTTTTTCTTTTATATTTTACTCAAAGATCCAGCAGAAATGAATATTATTTTAGTTTTTAAGGCAGCCTCTACTATTGCATCAGAGATACTGAAACCTCCAAGAAAAATTAAAAGATTGTTTCTTATGAACTAATAGATATGTCTTATTAATATTCTACTCAACATTTTAATGTATGAACTTTGTTTTTATAGACTAGTTCAAGACCAGAGTCTATTAGTAAAAACAGATTTTACAGAAAAGTGAAAAATGATAATCTATAAAGATCATTGGAAAAAATGTGCTCTCTGATAGGTGGTAACATGTGCTAGTGTTTCTTTTATTAATAAATTAGATATCTGAAGAGGAATACAAAAGATTGTCAAAGGCTCATGCACACATTAAAATATTTATCCCTGGCTTTCATTTCATAAGCTGAAAATGTCTAATTCATATAAAAATAAAATGTTAATACACCTATTATCATCTTGGCACCTTGGTACTTAGATTTGTTATGTTTATGTAGGCAAGGGTTCACAATCTTGACTGCACATTAGAATTATCTGGGGAATTTTTTAAATAAATTTTGATGCCCAAACAGAAGCCCAAACCAATGAATCAGAATCTCTCAAGGGTAAAAGATGGTATTTTCAAGGAACCTCAGGTGATTCCAAACACACCAGTGAGGTTGAGATCTACCAATTTTAGCAGTTCCTGATCAAGCCTCATTTTAATTACCATCTCTGTTAGAGTCATTTCCTCCTCTGCACTAAAAGAAGAGCACAAAGCAGATTGTATCATTGCAGCTTATGCCTGTGTTTCATTGTTTTTTTAATCTTCAGTACCTGATAGCTGCTCAAACATGAATGAATAAATGAACGTACTTATTTCCAACCAGGACCATGGAGAAAGGCTGCCACCATTTTAAAGACAGCAGATTCATTTAGAGCACATTGAGAGATGATCTGACTCATTTCGTTACATTACGCAGCTCTGAGTCACCTGGCACTTTCCCAGACAAAAAGTTTCAGAATCTGATGTTTCAGATCCTCATCCAATAGACATTTTTATCCCAGGAGCCAAGGCTGAGAATGCAGCTGACAGAATCAGTACAGGGCTTCTCTTAGGGAAGCGGTGGGAAGTCCCTGCTGCTCTGTGCTTATGTAACCATATGTTGTACAAGCATGACCCATAGAATGTGATCCAAACACTATATTTGTCTTGCTCCATCATTTTAAACTCTTATCAGTGGAGACAAACTTTTCTTGTTCATGGAGAGTCTTGGGCCACTCTCAGTGTTAGTCACTTTTAGTTGTAAAACAATCCTATTTTAGAAAGTTAATATAGTTGGTCTCACATAATAATAAAAAATCCAAACGTGAGATCAGGGCTAAACCATCACCTCTTCTCCAGCCTGGGCTTGTGTCGAAAGCCTGCATGTGGAAGGAGTTTGTGATCCTTCCGTTCTCTCTTTTCTCCCAGCTCACCTGTGCCACCTGTGATTTCTCTCTGGCTGGGGTCAAAATAGGGAGAGGGAGGAAAAGGAAGAAAATATGACACTGTTACTTGGCTGAACTTGGTAATGGTTGAAGTGGGAAACCTTGGATGAGAACAAGAGAGGGTAGCAGTTGATTCTTTTCTCATGGGAGATTTCATGGGTTCTTCAGAGTTTCTTGCTCTTCCCTTGACCTGGGCTGATCATGCTCTCCTTTGGGTGGTGCAAGGAAGGAAAAATGCTTTCTTCTACCTTTCTGGAATCTGTGACTGGTCCAAGAATTTAACTGAAATAAGACAGAATAACAGGCGAAAAAAAATTGAATTGTGTCTGCACACACAGGAGACCCACAAAAATATAAGACTCAAGGAAGGGGTCAGATGATTGAAACTCATATATTATCAGGAGCTACAGAGAGGAATAGGGGTTAGAATTTCTGGGTGGGAAGATGGGTGGAGACAAATTATGGGAAGAGGAGAGGAAATGTATGGTGAATAAAGGTTGTCGTGTGGTGCAGATAAGCGTCTCTCAGGTGAGAAAAGTTGTCTAGGAGTAGCTCTCTTTCTGGTACTGATATCTTTAGTAATAAAAGATATCTTTAGTAATAAAAATGTCTTTAGAAAATTCCTTTAGGCTGGGCGCGGTGGCTCACGCCTGTAATCCCAGCACTTTGGGAGGCTGAGGCAGGCAGGTCACTTGAGGTCAGGAGTTCAAGAACAGCCTGGCCAACATGAGGAAACCCTGTCTCCACTAAAAATACAAAAAGTAGCCAGGTGTGGTGGCACGCACCTGTAATCCCAGCTACTCGGGAGGCTGAGGCAGTAGAATCGCTTGAACCTGGGAGGTAGAGGTGGCAGTGAGCTGAGATCACGCCGGGGCAACAGAGTGAGACTGTCTCAAAAAATAAAATAAAATTCCTTTAAATGAGAAAACTTATGCTTTAGTTTAGGCAGCTGAGGGGAAAGTAAAGGGCTTTTCCTTTGTTGGCTCATTCTCAGTTGCCTTTAGTTCAAAATAATTAATATGCCAAAGTAGCATATTTTGGGGTAGCACTTTCTGAACTCTTTCAATGGCCATTTGTGACACTTTCTTCACCTCAAGATACATAGGCCCCTCCAGGCAGCCTAGTTGACAAAAAGAGCTCCTGACAAAGGCTCTCTTCTTTGGCCAAGCTTGAGTCAGGCTGCCTTGGGTCTTTTCTGACTAGGCCAGACCTTGGGTTTCCTTCTCTGTCTTTGTAGAATCCAGTTAGAGGAAGAATCCTGCTAAGTCAGGTTAGTGAAAATTCTCCACACTGGGTATCTGACCACCTTCAATATCTTACCCTGGCCTGCCTTAAGCAAGAATACTTTTTTTTCTTTTTCTTTTTTAAGACAGGGTCTCTCTATGTAGCCCAGGCTGGGATGCAGTGGCTATGCATAGGTGTAATCATGGCACAATACAGTCTTGAACTCCTGGCCTCAAGTGATCCTCAATCCTCAGCCTCCCAAATAGGTGGGACTATAGGTGGGAGCCACTGCACCCAGTATACCTTCAGCAAGAATTCTGTTGAGTCCATCTAGCAAGAATCTCCCTTAAACCTGATCTCTCCTCTTAGTCACTTTCCATCCACTGACTCCTATCCTGCTCCGTGGCTATAAATCCCCACTTGTCCTTGTTGGAATTAAAGTCAAGCCGAAGTCTGGGCTCAGTGGATCATGCTTGTAATCCCAGCACTTTAGGAGGCTAAGACAGGTGAATTGCTTGAGCCCAGGAGTTTGGAATCAGCCTGGGCAATATAGCCAAACCCCATCTCCACAAAAGTTAGCCAGGAGTGGTGGCATGCACCTGTAGTCCCAGCTACTCGGGAGGCTGAGGTGGGAGAATCACCTGAGCCCGGGGAGTTCGAGGCTTCAGTGAGTCATGATCTCCCTACTGTCCTCCAGCCTGGGCAACAGAACAAGACTGTCGAAAAGAAAGGAAAGGAAAAGAAAAGAAAAGAAAAGAAAATAGAAAAGAAAAAAGAAAAGAGAGGATAAGAAGGGAGAAAGGAAGGAAGGGAGAAAGAAAGAGAAAGGGAGAAAGAGAGAAAAAGAGAGAAAGAGAGGAAGGAAAGAAGGAAAGAATGAAGGAAGGAAGGAAAGAAGGAAGGAAGAGAAGAAGGAAGGAAGGAAAGGAAGAAGGAAGGAAGGAAAGAAGGAAGGAAGGAAGGGAAATCAAGTCCATTCTCTCTCCCCCACTACAAGACCCCATTTCTGTGGTCCCAATCCATGTCGCTATGGCCTCCCTTAAATACAGTCTTCCTTACCATCTTACCAAGCATCATGAATAATGTTTTAACACCCACACTGCTCTTCTTGGCCCACACTGGCCCATGAGACACTCCTGGATCCCTTATCTCCCTACCATATGGAGTCAGGCACATCTCTAGGCAGCAGCACACTGCTGGTTCCACCATTGAGGCAGTTGCCTCTAGAGCTTCAAGACACCATTCACAGTTCACTTTTCCTTCCTCAAGCCTGAGTGAGGGACTAGCCGTTTTTCTCTCTTGGTTGCAGGGAGCACTTAAAGCTCTGCCTGTAGTTGCCATGAAGTCCCTGTCTTCAAGGTATACCACCACTCTCCAGCAGGTGCACCTCCTCTGTCTTAGGTCAGTCTCCCTAGAAGCAGAGCTTGAAGTGAGGATTCTTGTTTAAGTGACTTACTGAGGAAGTGTTCTCATTAGAAGTGGAATGAAGAAAAGGATAAAGTGGGGGGAAAGGTGGTGGGGATCGGGGGTCCAGCACTTGCAGACCAAGCAAGACCCCAGCTAGAGACTAGCTTAAGTCTCATCCCACAGGGAAAATTCTGCAGCCCAAAGCACATCACAAACACCGTCCTACTTTGGGGCAAGGAATTCAGTTTATTTCCTCCTGCTAGTAGGATTAAGTTTTGCGGGCCAAGGTTGTCTGACAATGTGCAATTCGCCAGAGAAGGGGGTGGCTGAGAATTGTAGGAGACAAACTCTCAGGAGCTGGTGGGTGGGAGAGGGTAGGGCCACGGGTCAAAGTGCTCTGAAGGGGTATCAGCAATATCCACTACACCCACCCCACCCCAGCCTTTCTGTCTATCTTGATCTTTTGGTGCAGTTCAAGGACGGTGGAACAGATTCTTGAAGACATTTCCTCTTAAATGTTCTAATTGGGAGAGGGAGTGCCTGTCTCACTCACTTTGGTATCTGACATCTATCATAGCGTCCCCTCCATTTAAACAGAGGCAGGAGGAGTTCCATTCTAACATCCTCTCATTCTGAAGTGTGCTCAGGTTTTTCTTTTACACTAGTGACCATAAAGCTCAATGCCTTAATCCCACAGGCCAGAACCCAGAAAAGTGAGTAATCTCAATTCTCAAAACAATGTTTAGTGGTTTCCCTGGTCGCTATGATAGATTTTTGCTGTTCAGACTCTTCCTCTCAACAGACAGCATTAGAGATGTAGCTGGGGAGAGAAGGATGCATTCTGTGTCCATGAAATAGAATAGAGTCACCCGGAACAAACCCACAAGTTTATCATAAAAAAGCAAGCGCATTAAGTAAACTGGACTACCAAGCCATGGAGAACAACTTTTAGAGTATCCATTACCAAGCTGCGGCTAGAACAGCTTTTTAGAAATCTTCCTGAGGCATTCAGGAGCTTCAGGGAGAATGGACAGAGAGAGGAGAAGGGAGACTGACCTAGTATGGCAGTATATTACCAATTTCCAAAAGAACACCCATGCCAGGGAAGTCCCCAAAGGGCTAGAGATAAGTCAAGGAAAGGAGTCACTGAATCACAAAGATGTCAGAGCTGTAGGGAATCCTACATTTTATGCAGAAAAGCATCCCCTTTTTCACAGAGGAGGATCTGTGGCACAGAGAGGTCATGATGAAGCACTTGCAGACTGGCAACTCAAAGGCCAAACTTGGCCTGCACAGTCTCAGTTAGAGTATGAATTCATTGTGAAGACTGAAAAACCAGAAGATGGCATGCATGCACACATGCACACACACATGTGCACCTGGTTTTCTAACTTCTTTTGAAAATCTGGAGACCTGGCAACAAGAGGCCCATAGTCTGGCATCACAATAACCATCCAGGGCTTAATGAAGATGACAATCTAGTTTATTGTGTCCCATACCCAGCCAGTTTGGTTTTTATTTTTTATTTTATTCATTTGTTTTTTATTTTAGAGACAGGGTCTTGATCTATGGCCCAGGCTGGAGTGCAGTGATGTGATCATAGCTCACTGCAGCCTTGAACTCCTGTGCTCAAGTGATCCTCCCACCTCTGCCTCCAGAGTATGTGGGACTACCGGTGTGAGCCATTGCACCCAGATCCCCAGCCAGTTGGACTGATCTATCTTATCACCTGGTCCCTATAGGTAACATGGGGTGTGGCTTCTCGGTTATGATATTTATCCAGAGTCATATAACTAGTGACAGACTTGGGTAGGGGCCCATGTCAAAATTGACACTTGATACGCACTGGCAAAAAAACTTCTAGGGGGTCCAGGACCTATAACTACTCCTGGTCCATGGTGCTGAACCAAATTGGAATGGGCTTTCAGGCAGGCTGGCTAAACACAGCTCTAGTGAGTGTAAGGAAGAGACAGGTGATGGGCGGTTACCTAAACCAGTCATCAAGAGGTGTAGGTTCAGGAAATTAGGAAGAATACAATAACACAGAATTTTGTGGCAAACCACTGGTGGCATCAGAAAATTCTGGCATGAATTAGCAAGGTCCCAGCCACAGAGCTGACGGTCAAGAGTAGGATCCCTGTCCCTGTTTGAAGGGATAGGGCCCTGGCCAGCACTCAATCTTGGAAGAAGAACTGGAATATCAGGGGAAATCTAAGGTCAGAGGAGTAATATTAGGACTCAGTTACATTGCTAGAACCAGTACCTAAAGTTAGAGCAGAACTAGGAGATGGTTGACTTCTTGCAGAGCCAACTGGGCTCTGTAAGTTCCTCCTTGCTGAGGTCCTAGAGTTTAGGGGTATTTCCGGAGGGTGTCAGATACCCAAGAGCTTACTTATGGACAGAGGTGTTTCACAGGACCAGGCAACCAAGCCAGTGGTGACACCTCCCTGCCTGGCCTCCTTTGCCAGGCATCCTGCCCACAATTTCTCATTCGCATGCAAAGTCAGCCTTCACATCATTTAAAAAACTGACTTCGCCCTGAATCTACACTACGCCTCTTTTCATATTTATAAACACCAAGGCTGGAACAAAACAAAAAGCAAATTCTGATCATTCTTTAGCTTGGCAGCAGGTGAAAAAATGAGCTCACAATGCTGTCAAGAACCATGTGAAGCAACAATAGCACTTGGCAGCTGTTACTTTCAGTGGGCATTAAGTCTAATGAAATAGCCCAGTTATACAAAAGGGGGAAAAAATAAATGACAGCTATGGAGACAGATGGCAAAAGACCAGTCTCTGTACCTACAGATACCAAGTTTTATTCAAATACTTTTAAAGGTGACCTTCTTAGATAATTGTGCCTCACCATGAACTGACCTGTTTCTAGGGCATGTTCCTTTTTTGTAAATTGTGGGAAAGATAAATTGGTTAATCTGGGCAAAAAATAAACGCCACGAAGTTCAGCCCAACCGGATGCATAATAATTACCAATATTTTCTGGGTCCCTGCTATGGGCCAGGTGCCATGCTAAGCTGCTTTGTGTCTCATTTAATTCTCACAACAATGCTACGAAGAACCAAGCATTATTATTATCTCTATTTGCATGTGAGAAAACCCAGGCTCAGAAAGTAAAATAAGGTACCACCTGGGTACACACCATGGGTGAGAAGTCCCATTCCCAGCAGCTCTGCCTATCCCAGAGGCAAAGCACCTAAGTCCTCACTAGTGGTGCAAGCCCTGGTGTGGGATTTGCACCACATGTGGCAATGTCACTAGCTGACAGCTCCAGTGTCCATTCTCCCTGTCCTCCTTAGCAAGAGAATCCCTGTTTATTCCAGATAGCAGTCCTAAAGAATTCCAAACTACTAGGGTCATTGATGATACATTGCATGGATGGCCCCAGTAAATGATCTCCCTGTGCTCATGACCTTTGCAATGAGACTTGTAATCATAACTGTGATGATAGCCAAGCATAAAAATAGCTGGCATTTCTTCAGCCCTTACTATGCTAGGTACTGTTCTAAGCCCTTTTTATGGATTCTGGCATTTATTTGGTTTTTCAGTTGTTTTGGTTATTTATTGAAAACTTGGTTATGTAGAACTTATGTTTCTCCATGTAAACCATATTATTTGCATGCATAAATATAAATATAAAGCTGAAATTCACAGCTTCATATATATATAAGCTGAAATTTATATATTTTATATAGTATTATATATAATATATAACCTGAAGTTCACATTAAGGCACTATTTAATCCATAATATCATGAAACCAATGTATTAGTTTGAGTTTGAGGTCCTGTTAATAGAGAGTACTTTTTTTTTTCTTTTTGAGATGGAGTCTCACTCTGTCACCCTGGCTGGAGTGCAGTGGCGCTATCTCTGCTCACTGCAACATCCGCCTCCCAGGTTCAAGCAATTCTCCTGCCTCAGCCTCATGAGTAGCTGGGACTACAGGTGTGCACCACCACGCCTGGCTAATTTTTGTATTTTTAGTAGAGACAGGGTTTCACCATGTTGTCCAGGGTGGTCTTGAACTCCTGACCTTAGGTGATCCAACCGCCTCAGCCTCCCAAAGTGCTGGGATTACAGGTGTGAGCCATCACACCAGGCTAAAAAATGTGTGTACTTTGACCCAGCAACTCCACATTTAAGAGTTAGTCTTTAAGAAATAAGAGAATAAGCTCATAAAGACGTTTGTCAAAGTGCTTTTTAAAATAGAGGACTGGGCCGGGTGAAGTGGCTTATGCCTGTAATCCTAGCACTTTGGGAGGCCAAGACGGGAGGATTACTTGAGGTCAGGAGTTCAAGACCAGCCTGGGCAACATGGTGAAACCCCGTGTCTACTAAAAATACAAAAATTAGCTGGGTGTGGTGGTACACGCCTGTGGTCCCAGCTACCAGGAAGGCGGAGGTTGCAGTGAGTCAAGATTGCACCACTGCACTCCAGCCTGGGCTACAGAGACTCTATCTCTAAATAAATAAATAAATAAATAAATAAATAAATAAATAAATACATACATACATACATACATACATACATACATACATACATAGATGATTATTGGAGATTTTCCATTATTTCCCAAAGTACATTATTTAGAAAAGTAATTTATAAAAAGTATTTTCTTTTTTTGTTTGTTTGTTTGTTTGGTCTTTGATTTATTAGTTTTATTCGGGAAATACATAGAATGTTAGGTTATTTTGGGTGAAGCTGAGCAGTTTCTACAGAGGGCAGGCTTCATTTTAGAAATTGTTAAAAGCCAGAGTGGACGTTGGGAAAGCTCTTTACTTTTCAAATAACATGTAACATTTTTGATGGAGCTTTGTTGTTGTGTTAACTGGTTTTGGGTTTTTTGTTTTATTGTGTTTTTGTGTTCCAGACAAGGTCTTACTTTGTCACCCAGGCTGGAGGCCTGATAATGGCTCATTGCAGCCTCAACCTCATGGACTCAAGTGATCCTTCTGCCTCAGCCTTTCAAGTAGCTGGGACTACAGGCACACGCCATGACACCTGGTTAATTTTTAAAAATTTTTAGAGACAGGGTCCCGCTATGTTGCCCAGGCTGGTCTTGAACTCCTGGCCTCAAGCGATCCTCCTGCCTCGGCCTCCAAAAGTGCTGGGATTATAGGTGTGAGCCACCAAACCTGGCATATGTTTTAACTGTTTATAGTCTTTGGGGGTAGTGGCATACCAACGGCCTCACAGTAGGGCAGTCTTCCTGAGGCAGTAAAAGAGTACATTTTCTGTACAGAGGATTTAATGAGAATAATAATTTGAATAATAAATTCAAAAAGTTGGTCTGTTTTTTATGATCACCTATCAGCAATTCTAAACAGTGTCAGTGATAAAATACTTTTTACCCAAAAAATATTTTGTTTGTTTAAGTTTTAAACAATTGCTGTGGGTACTGTGAAGTTTAAATGTATATCAGTTTCAAATTAGCATACTTATTCTTATCCTTTCATAGCATTGTATTTTATATGAAAGTTAATCCAGAGCAACTCACAGCTGCTGCCCATCTCCACATGCCCCACCCCAACCCTGCACCTACAGCCCCCGACCCACCCAACACTCCCTACCCCACATAGAATCAGCTACAAAGAGCCTTGTGAGAGTACTTTCCTAACAGCTCAGAATCATTTGAGCTTATTTCAGAGGCAATTAAGAATCCTCAACCCCTGTGTTACTACATATTCCTCATTTAAAAAAGTAGATTTGAAACAAACATAGTATAAAGAATTTAAAAATAATGAAACCAGACCTGACTGACTTCAATTCTGACATTCTCTGTGACCACTCTGAATTTTTTACTTCTATCTAAAATTCAAACCGGGTGCAGTGGCTCATGCCTGTAGTCCCAGAACTTTGGGAGTCTGAGGCGGGCAGATCACTTGAAGTCAGGAATTCGAAACCAGACTGGCCAACACGGTGAAACCCCGTCTCTACTAAAAAAAAAAAAAAAAAAAAAAAAATTAGCCAGGTGTGGTGGTGGGCACCTGTAATCCCAGCTACTCAGGAGGCTGAGGCAGGAGAATCGCTTGAACCTGGGAGGCGGAGGTTGCAGTGAGCTGAGATCACAGTACTGCACTCCAGCCTGGGCGACAGAGCAAGACTCTGTTACAAAAAAAAAAAAAAAAAATTCAAAATAGTGATAAAGAGTGCAAAATGCAAAGTGTGATATTTTTGTTTGGTAAGTGCAAATTTTAGTTCAATGCATGACATAGACTATTTAATTTAAAATAATGTTTCCAAAACTGAAATTTATTCCTCTTTTAACATTGTTATTTATTTCAAAACTAAAGAAAAACTCAAGAAAAAAGTAACATTCCTGATTATTACATGACTATTACTAAAAATAACCTTGCTTTATACAACGTGAAGGTGTTAGAAACTGATCTGCTCCAGGTGTCAAATCCACTAGGTGCGCCACTGCCTGAGGGAAAATTTAATAAGACTCGAAGTGTTACTAAGATTTCTCTGAGACTTGTTGAAAATTGTTGGTGGGAAAGCTGTTCATCACTGCATGTGTTAGTTCTTCAGGAACAGAATGTCAGGGCACATGAACAGACAACAATCATCTCCTTCCTCCACTTGCACAATCTGTCACCAATAACCAGCAATGACGGCTGTCTACTATCATGGAAGGCTGTCACTAACTGTTAGTAATTCTCAAAACTTGGAAAAGTAACCAATACTTCAGAGGCTAACCTGCAATGTTTTTTGGTTTTGTTTTTGTTTTTGAGGCGCAGTTTTGCTCTTGTTGCCCAGGCTGGAGTGCAATGGTGCAATCTCGGCTCACTGCAACCTCCACCTCCCAGGTTCAAGCGATTCTCCTGCCTCAGCCTCCCAAGTAGCTAGAATTACAGGCACGTGCCACCATGCCTGGATAATTTTTTTTGTATTTTTATTAGTGATGGGGTTTCCCCATGTTGGTCAGGCTGGTCTCAAACTCCTGACCTCAGGTGACCTGCCCGCCTCTGCCTCTCAAAGCGCTGGGATTACAGGCATGAGCCACCGCGTCCAGCCACCTGCAATGTTAAGAATAGCAAAAGTGTTGAGAGAGACATCCAGCATGTACCATTTTTATAAGCAGATAGACCCAAAGCAAACTGTTAAGGTAGTAATAAGCATCCTGAAAGAAGCATAGGTTTTGGAGGAGAATTGGACTTTGGTCATGGCCCTTCCAAAATTACTTGCTATTAATTTATTCAAAATATTTACACTTCTCCACTGTGTAGGTGCTGGGAATACAATGATGCTCAAGACAGATATGGTCTCTGCCCCTAAGGAAGGGGACTCCCCACCCTTCCCCCCAAAAAAGTAAACAGACAAATAAATGAAACGCTTTTTAGTTGTTTTAGTGCCATGAAGGAAACAAACAAATGGTTTCCCATTATCCTAGGATAAAAACCAAATTCTTAATATGGCCCTTACCATCCATTTCAACCACATCTTATACTTCTTCCCTGCTAGGTCTATCTGTTCCAGCCACAGCCTTTTTTTTTTTTTTTTTTCTTTTAAAACAGAGTCTCTCTCTGTTGCCAGGCTGGAGTGCAGTGGTGCATATCGGCTCACTGTAACCTCTGCCTCCCAGGTTCAAGCAATTCTGCCTCAGGCTCCCGAGTGGCTGGGATTACAGGCACGCGCCACCATGCCCAGCTAATTTTTGTATTTTTAGTAGAGACAGGGTTTCACCATGTTGGCCAGTATGGTCTCGATCTCCTGACCTCGTGATCCGCCCACGTAGGCCTCCCAAAGTGCTGGGATTACAGGCATGAGCCACCGCACCCGGCCCACAGCCTTCTTTTAGTTCCTCAAATGCACGAAAGCCTTCCTGTTTCAGTCCCTTGACATATGTTGGCCAGCTCCACCCCTACTTTGCCTCTGTTAATTCCTTATGTATCTTTCAGATCTCAGGACAAATATGTTTGCAGAGAGACTTTCTTGGTGTCCGCCTACCTACACATTCCCTGAGCATCCCCAACCTACATACAATCAATAGCCAGGCCAGTTACTCCCTAGAGCCCCCTGGGTTGTTTCTTCATAACTCTCACTACAGGTTGTAATTAATAATTTGCCTGTGTAATCATTTGTGTAATGTCTGTCTTCTCTCCCATCACAATATGTTGCTACTGGACCATAGGTTTCATGGGGGGCAAAGTTTACTGCTTTACTTACATTGAATTCCCAGGTCTTGGCACAATAAATATTTATGGAATGAATGAATGGAGGTATGCATAAATGAAGACATAACCAGCCAAAAAAAACCTACCACCAGGGATATGCCTCAGGAAAATTTTTTATGAGGAAAGTCTGGCTGTCCAAAGAATTTCCTCTTTCCTAGCTTCTCTTGTCTGACCTCGCTGGGCAGGTTGTTGTTGTTTTGAGTTTTTGTTTTTATAAGTTCCCTTTTTTTTTTTTTAACTTTCTTTCACTTCTAAAATTAAATTTAGCCAAATTTTTTTCTTTTTTTAAAAAAATTTGGGTTTTAGCTCCATCTTAATGGTATAGCTTTCCATTTCAAAGTTTTCATCTTATTTCTCTAGCCCTCAGCCTTTTAAAAAATTATAAATATTTATTTTATTTTGCTTTCATCAAATTCAAATCTTAATTTGGAATATTTAGGTCTAGTCTTTACTCTTTTTTGACTTGCTGCTTTCAGTTGTTCAATATCCCTTTTCAAATCTAATTTTAAAATAAGCATAATTTATCTCATAATTTCTTTTTAATTTGTTAATGGCTTATTTTTAACTTAACTGACAGATTTAAGCATTATTTAACCATGAAATTTCTCTTTTATTTGGAATTTTACCCTGTTTGCTCTCATCTCCTGCTCCCTCTCTCTCCCTCCTGTTCGTCCCATTGTTTCCCTCTCACCCATCCTCCACTCCCACTTCCCCACCTGTATTTGCGATGTTCAGAAAGAGGGGAGTCAGGAATGTAAACACTGGAAGAGTTTGCTTTATGAACATGGAAGAATGAAAGCCATCCTTCCCTACCAGTTTTCCTAGCATCAGCCTGTTGGACCACTTCATCAGTATTCCTGATTTATTAAGGATGGTTCTCCACAGAACCTTATTATAGAAGATGGGGTGAACTCAATTCATTGTCTCCAGAGAAACAAGTCCCATTTTGCAGTTGGAATATTTGATATGCTGAAACAATGCTGCTTGTTAATATCCCTTACCATCTGGTTCTTAAATGAGAAATTTGGGGGAAAACTATTCCAGCTGCCTGCCCAGGAGAAGTTGAACCTTGGAAGGGATTCTCCAGGTAGAGGCTCTCCGAGCCTGATCTGGTGAGATGCTGACAAATCTCTCAATAAATATTTACAGGAAGTTTCAAAGCACAGAATCTGCAGCCAGTGTCTTGGCTCCACATTAAGCCAGCTTGGATTCATCATTCTCCCAAAGATGTTTTCCTTCCCTTCTTGGCAGGTAGACACCATGGGTCTCCTGTGCAGTGGCTGCTCTCAACTCTCTTCTTTGTCTGTCTGTCTGCTCATAGGACATGGGGCTCTCCAGTATGCTAAGGAAAGTCTTTATGCCAGGGACATTGGCTAAGTTACTGAGATATTTTGTTCATCCCTTCAGAAGAGGGTTGGATGCCACTCTGGGGGATGAGAATCCCTACAAGATCACAACACCATTTCCATCCTCAAATCTAGCACTGGGGTCCTATATAGGCTTCTACCAACATGGACTCTTTTCCTTGAGGAGATCTGCTCCACTCCACATTACTTGGTTGAATTAAATCCATTCCTACCCAGTTTCAGAGAAGTAATCACTCTTGTCGAGTAGACCCTCAGATTCTCTGATCTCACTGTCTTGTTATTCTTAAGAACTCTCCTTTGAGAATCCTTCTTTGACCAACTCACCAACTAGTTCCATTCCTGTATGGGTGATGTGGATCTGTGGAGTCACCTTAGTTTCTTCAACTGTAATACGGGGACAATAGGATCTACCTTTTAGGGTATGCCTGAGGACTGCATGATACATTTATATAAAGCAGTTGATGTGTACACACCAGTGTCTGGCATATATGAGAGGTGGGTAATAAAAGTTAGCTGTTTTTACTGAATTTGTCTTCATCTTTCCTTTTAGAAATAGATCTACTTCATGAAATCCATGGGTCTATAGTTTCTGGCACAGGAAAATGTATTCAACACACCCAGATCTAGAATTTTTCCAGGAGGCTGAGCCCTCTCTCATACTTAAAATAATTCGGCTGGATCTGGGCTGGCAAGATGGCCGAATAGGAACAGCTCCAGTCTATGGCTCCCAGCAAGATTGACCCAGAAGGCAGGTGATTTCTGCATTTCCAACTGAGGTACATGGCTCATCTCATTGGGACTGGTTAGACAGTGGGTGCAGCCCACTGAGGATGAGCCAAAGTAGAGTGGGGCATCGCCTGATGCCAGAAGCACAATGGGTCAGGCAACTCCCTCCCCTAGCCAAGGGAAGCCATGAGGGACTGTGCTGTAAGGAACAGTGCATTCTGGCCCAGATACTATGCTTTTCCCACAGTTTTTGCCACTAGCAGACCAGGAGATTCCCTTGGGTGCCTACACCACCAGGTCCCTGGGTTTCATGCACAAAACTGGGCAGCCATTTGGGCAGACACTGAGCTAGCTGCAGGGTTTTGTTTTTTTTTTCCATATTCCGGTGGCACCTATAATGCCAGTGAGACAGAACTGTTCACTTTCCTGGAAACAAGGCTGAAGCCAGGGAGCCAAGTGGTCTAGCTCAGTGGCTCTCACCCCCGAAGCCCAGCAAGCTAAGATCCACTGGCTTGAAATTCTCACTGCCAGTACAGCAGTCTGAAGTCGACCTGGGATGCTTGAGCTTGGTGGGGGGAGGGGCATCCACCATTATTGAGGCTTGAGTAGGCAGTTTTCCCCTCACAGTGTAAACAAAGTTCGAACTGGGTGGAGCCCACCGCAGCTCAGCAAAGCCACTGTAGCCAGATTGCCTCTCTAGATTCCTACTCTCAGGGCAGGCCACCTCTGAAAGAAAGGCAGCAGCCCCAGTCAGGAGCTTATAGATAAAACTCCCATCTCCCTGGGGAAAGGGGCAGCTGAAGGCACAGCTTCAGCAGACTTAAACGTTCCTGCCTGCTTGCTCTGAAGAGGGCAGAAGATCTCCCAGCACAGTGCTCGAGCTCTGCTAAGGGACAGACTGCCTCCTCAAGTGGGTCCCTGACCCCTGTGCCTCCTGACTGGGAGACACCTCCCAACAGGGGTCGACAGACACCTCATACAGGAGAGCTCTGGCTGGCATCTGGCAGGTGCCCCTCTGGAATGAAGCTTCCAGAGAAAGGAACAGGCAGCAATCTGTGCTGTTCTGCAGCCTCCACTGGTGATACCCAGGCAAACAGTGTCTGGAATGGACCTCCAGCAAACTCCAGCAGACCTGCAGCAGAGAGGCCTGACTGATAGAAAGAAAACTAACAAACAGAAAGGAATAGCATCAACATCAACAAAAAGGACGTCCACACAGAAACCCCATCCAAAGGTCACCAACATCAAAGACCAAAGATAGATAAACCCACGAAGATAAGGAAAAACCAGTGCGAAAAGCCTGAAATTTCCAAAAACCAGAACGTCTCTTCTCCTCCAAAGGATCACAACTCCTCCCCAGCAAGGGAACAAAAGTAGACGGATAATGAGTTTGATGAATGAACAGAAGTAGGCTTCAGAAGCCTCCTCTGAGCTAAAGAAGCATGTTCTGACCCAATGCAAGGAAGCTAAGAACCTTGACAAAAGGTTAGAGGCACTGCTAACTAGAATAACCAGTTTAGAGAAGAACATAAATGACCTGATGGAGCTGAAAAACACAGCACGAGAACTTTGTGAAGCATACACAAGTATCAATAGCCAAATCGATCAAGTGGAAGAAAGGTTATCAGAGATTGAAGATCAACTTAATGAAACAAAGCATGAAGACAAGATTAGAGAAAAAGGAATGAACAAAGCCTCCAAAATATATGGGACTATGTGAAAAGACCAAATCTATGTTTGATTGGTGTACCTGAAAGTGACGGGGAGAATGGAACCAAGTTGGAAAACACTCTTCAGGATATTATCCAGGAGAACTTCATCAACCTAGCAAGACAGGCCAACATTTAAATTCAGGAAATACAGAGAACACCACAAAGATACTCGTTGAGAAGAGCAACCCCAAGACACATAATCATCAGATTCACCAAGGTTGAAATGAAGGAAAAAATGTTAAGGGCAGCCAGAGAGAAAGGTTGGGTTACCCACAAAGGGAAGCTCATCAGACTAACAGTGGATGTCTCTGCAGAAACCCTACAAACCAGAAGAGAGTGGGGGCCAATATTCAACATTCTTAAAGAAAAGAATTTTCAACCTGGAATTTCATATCCAGCCAAACTAAGCTTCATAAGCGAAGGAGAAATAAATCCTTTACAGACAAGCAAATGCTGAGAGATTTTGTCACCACCAGGCCTGCCCTAAAAGAGCTCCCGAAGGAAACACTAAATATGGAAGGAAAAACCGCTACCAGCCACTGCAAAAACATACCAAATTGTAAAGAACATCTACACTATGAAGAAACTGCATCAACTAATGGGCAAAATAACCAGCTAGCATCATAATGACAGGATCAAATTCACACATAACAATATTAACTTTAAATGTAAAGGGGCTAAATGCCCCAATTAAAAGAAACAGACTGGCAAATTGGATAAAAAGTCAAGACCCATCGGTGTGCTGTATTCAGGAGACCCATCTCACATGTAAAGACACACATAGGCTAAAATAAAGGGATGGAGGAATATTTACCAAGCAAATGGAAAGCAAAAAAAAAAGCAGGGTTTGCAATCCTAGTATCTGATAAAATAGACTTTAAGCCAACACAGATCAAAAAACACAAAGAAGGGCATTACATAATGGTAAAGGGATCAATGCAACAGGAAGACCTAACTATCCTAAATATATATGCATCCAATACAGGAGCACTCAGATTCATAAAGCAAGTTCTTAGAGACCTACAAAGAGACTTGGACACCCACAAAATAATAGTGGGAGAATTTAACACCCCACTGATCAATGAGACAGAAAATTAACAAGAATATTCAGGACTTGAACTCAGCTCTGGACCAAGCAGACCTAATAGACATCTATAGAACTCTCTACCCCAAATCAACAGAATATACATTCTTCTTAGCACCATATCACACTTATTCTAAAACTGACCACATAATTGGAAGTAAAACACTCCTCAGCAAATGCAAAAGAATGGAAATCATAATAAACGGTCTCTCAGACCATAATGCAATCAAATTAGAACTCAGGATTAAGAAACTCACTCAAAACCACACAACTACATGGAAACTGAACAACCTACTCCTGAATGACTACTGGGTAAATAATGAAATTAAGGCAGAAATAAATAAGCTCTTTGAAATCCATGACAAAGACACAACGTACCAGAATCTCTGGGACACAGCTAATCTCTGGCACACAGAATCTCTGGGACACAGTGTTTAGAGGGAAATTTATAGCATTAAATGCCCACAGAAGAAAGCAGGAAGGATCTAAAATTGACATCCTAATATAACAATAAAAAGAACTAGAGAAGCAAGAGCAAACAAATTCAAAAGCTAGCAGAAGACAAGAAATAACTAAGATCAGAGCAGAACTGAAGGAGATAGAGACATGAAAAACTCTTCAAAAAATCAATGAATCCAGGAGCTGGTTTTTTGAAAAGATCAACAAGATAGATAGACCGCTAACCAGACTAACAAAGAAGAAAAGAGAGAAGAATCAAATAGACACAATAAAAAATGATAAATGGGAGATAACCACTGATCCTGCAGAAATACAAACTACCATCAGAGAACATTATAAACACCTCTATGCAAATAAACTAGAAAATCTAGAAGAAATGGATAAATTCCTGGACACATCCACCCTCCCAAGACTAAACCAGGAAGAAGTCAAATCCCCAAACAGACCAATAACAAGTTCTGAAATTGAAGCAGTAATTAATAGCCTACCAACCAAAAAAAAAAGCCCAGGACCAGACGGATTCATAGCCAAATTCTACCACAGATACAAAGAGGAGCTGGTACCATTCCTTCTGAAACTATTCCAGACAATAGAAAAAGAGAGACTCCTCCCTAACTCATTTTATGAGGCCAGCATCACCCTGATACCAAAACCTGGCAGAGACACAACAAAAAAAGAAAATTTCAGGCCAGTATCCCTGATGAACATCAATGTGAAAATCCTCAATAAAGTACTGGCAAACTGAATCCAGCAGCACATCGAAAAGCTTATCCACCACAATCAAGTCAGCTTCATCCCTGGAATGCAAGGCTGTTTCAACATACACAAATCAATAAACATAATCCATCACATAAACAGAACCAATGACAGAAACCACATCATTATCTCAATAGATGCACAAAAGCCTTCAATAAAATTTAACACCCCTTCATGCTAAAAACTCTCAATAAACTAGGTATTAATGGAACATATCCTCAAAATAATAAGAGCTGTTTATGAAAAACCCACAGCCAATATCATACTGAATGGGCAAAAACTGGAAGCATTCCCTTTGAAGACTGGCACAAGACAAGGATGCCCTCTCTCACCACTCCTATTCAGCATAGTATTGGAAGTTGTGGCCAGGGCAATCAGGCAAGAGAAAGGAATAAAGGGTATTCAAATAGGAAAAGAGGAAGTCAAATTGTCTCTGTTTGCAGATGACATGATTTTATATTTAGAAAACCCCATTGTCTCAGCCCAAAATCTCCTTAAGCTGATAAGCAACTTCAGCAAAGTCTCAGGATACAAAATCAATGTGCAAAAATCACAAGCATTCCTATACACCAATAATAGACAAACAGAGAGCCAAATCGTGAGTGAACTTTTGTTCACAATAGCTACAAAGAGAATAAAATACCTAGGAATACAACTTACAAGGGATGTGAAGGACCTCTTCAAGGAGAACTACAAACCACTGCTCAAGGAAATAAGAGAGGGCACAAACAAATGGAAAAACATTCCATGCTCATGGATAGGAAGAACCAATATCATAAAAATGGCCATACTGCCCAAAGTAATTTATACATTCAGTGCTATCCCCATCAAGCTACCATTGACTTTCTTCACAGAATTAGAAAAAACTTGGGGGGAGGGGGGAGGGATAGCATTAGGAGGTACACCTAATGCTAAATGACAAGTTAATGGGTGCAGCACACCAGCATGGCACATGTATACGTATGTAACTAACTTGCACATTGTGCACATGTACCCGAAAACTTAAAGTATAATAATAATAATAAAAAAAGAAAAAACTACTTTAAATTTCATATGGAACCAAAAAAGAGCCTGTATAGCCAAGACAATTCTAAACAAAAAGATCAAAGCTGGAGGCATCGCGCTACCTGACTTCAAACTATACTACAAGGCTACAGTAACCAAAACAGCATGGTACTGGTACCAAAACAGATATATAGACCAATGGAACAAACAGGGGCCTCAGAAATAACACCACACATCTACAACAATCTTATGTTTGAAAAACCTGACAAAAATAAGTAATGGGGAAAGTATTCCATATTTAATAAATAGTGTTAGGAAAACAGGCTAGCCATATGCGGAAAACTGAAACTGGACTCCTTCCTTACACCTTATACAAAAACTAACTCAAGATGGATTAAAGATTTAAATGTAAGACCTAAAATCATAAAAACCCAAGAAGAAAACCTACGAAATACCATTCAGGACATAGGCATGGGCAAAGACTTCCTGACTAAAACACAAAAAGCAATGGCAACAAAAGCCAAAATTCACAAATGGGATCTAATTAAACTAAAGAGCTTCTGCACCACAAAAGATTCTATTCATTAGAGTGAACAAGCAACCTACAGAATGGGAGAAAATTTTTGCAATCTATCCATCTGACAAAGAGCTAATATCCAGAAACTACAAGGAACTTAAACAAATTTACAAGAAAAAAAAAACCCCATCAAAAAGTGGGCGAAGGATATGAACAGACACTTCTCAAAAGAAGACATTTATGCAGCCAACAAACATATGAAAAAAAAACTCATCATCACTGGTAATTAGAGAAATGCAAATCAAAACTATGATGAGATACCATCTCATGCCAGTTAGAATGGCAATTATTAAAAAGTCAGGAAACAACAGATGCTGGAGACGATGTGGAGAAATAGGAATGCTTTTACACTGTTGGTGGGAGTGTAAATTAGTTCAACCATTTTGGAAGACAGCGTGATGATTCCTCAAGGATCTAGAGCCAGAAATACCATTTGACTCAGCAATCCCATTACTGGGTATATACCCAAAGGATTATAAATCATTCTACTATAAAGACACATGCACACATACGTTTATTGCAGCACTGTTCACAATAGCAAAGACTTGGAACCAACCCAAATGCCCATCAATGATAGACTGGATAAAGAAAATGTGGCCCATATACACCATGGAATACTATGCAGCCATAAAAAGGATGAGTTCATGTCTTTTGCAGGGACATGGATGAAGCTGGAAACCATCATTCTCAGCAAACTAACACAGCAACAGAAAATCAAACACTGCATGTTCTCACTCATAAATGGGAGTCGAACAGTGAGAACACATGGACACAGGGAGGGGAACATCACACACCGGCCTGTCAGGGGATGGGGGGCTAGGGGAGGGATAGCATTAGGAGAAATACCTAATGTAGATAATGGGTTAATGGGTGCAGCAAACCACCATGGCTTGCGTATACCTGTGTAACAAACCCGCAGATTCTGCACATGTATCCCCAAAACCTACGGTATAATAAAATAATAATAATTTGATTGGGTTAGTCTTGTATTTTATTTTAAAAAGAATTACATTTTAATCTAAATTTGAGCCAAAGAGAATTGTCCGTTATTTCTCACTGCTTGGTCCTGTGGGAAGCCACCGTCCCTGAGGCAATCCCAAATGTTACAGTGGGACTTACATTGTGATCACAGACCCTAGCACACTTTACATGAAAGAAATGAGTGATCTCCTATACCTTGGGCATATTTAGGTGTGAACAATAACCTGCCATCTGCCTTACCCCAATAGATACCTGTATTTCCTTCCTCAATCTGAAATCAGATTGGTCATGACAAACATCCTTAATTTGATGGTTCTATTTTATCAGGGACTGTGAAATTTTAGTGTTTTATGGATATGGATTAGATGTATAATTTTAGGGAACAAATCATAGGGAAGTGAATAGCTACTTATCTAGTATTAATTAAAAATCAGTCTAGGTGAATTTGAGTAGAGTAGGCCTGGGACAAAGAATCACTTGTAGGAGACTGAGATGGTTTTGGGATTAAGGAGAAACCAAGTTGGTTATTACAGTGATAATAATAGCTACATATGTCAAGACTTTACTAAGTGCCACTTCGATTTCTTCGTGGTAGGCTAAGCTGACAGTTTTAGTGTCTTAAGTTCAGGATATTTAAAAAAATGATTCTATATTATCAACTATTACCTGAGCACAGGGAAGGAAACAGATTTAGGGACCCAATTCCTTGCTCTGAGCTGGCCAAACATTTGAGAAGTCTCAGGCAGATGCATATTTGCGAAGGGGTTGCTTAAAAGACATTGTCTTGGTCCACACATATAGGATCACTCATTTATAGTATGACATTGAGTGTAGTGGGGAAAGGAAAAATATTTTAGTAAATGGTCTGGTCAACTAAATATTCATGTGGAAGTAATAAATATTGACTCCTACATCATACCATATATAAAAATCATTTGAATTGGATTGCAGATCTAAATGTGAAAGGGCTGGGCATGGTGCCCATGCCTGTAATCCCAGCATTTTGGGAGGCTGAGGCAGGTGGGTCACTTGAGGTCAGGAGTTCAAGGCCAGCCTGAGCAACATGGTGAAACCCCATCTGTACTAAAAATACAAAAATTAGCCAGGTGTGGTGGTATATTCCTATAATCCCAGCTACTTGGGAGGCTGAGGCCGGAGGATTGCTTGAACCCAGGAGGCAGAGGTTGCAGTGAGCAGAGATTGTGCCACTGCACAGCAGCCTGGGTGACAGAGTGAGACTCCATCTCAAAAAACAAAAGATAAAAAACAAAAGTAGTGAAAAATAAAACACCAAAGTTTTTAGGGAAAAAAACAGAATATGATCATATCCTTGAGGAGAGCTGAGATTTTTAAAATATGACACAAATCTATTAATCATAAAGCAAAAAATTGATAAATTGGGTTTTATTAAAATTATTAAATTCAGTTCATTAAAAGATACCACTAAGAGAGTGAAGAGGCAGGTCATAGTGTAACAGAAGATATTTGATATACTTTTTTTTTTTTTTTTGAGACAGAGTTTCGCTCTTCTTGCCCAGGCTGGAGTGCAATGGCACGATCTCGGCTCACTGCAACCTCTGCCTCCCGGGTTCAATCAATTCTCCTGCCTCAGCCTCCCAAGTAGCTGGGATTACAGGCCCGCGCCACCATGCCTGGCTAATTTTTGTATTTTTAGTAGAGACGGGGTTTCTGCATGTTGGTCAGGCTGGCGTCGAACACCTGACCTCAGGTGATCCGCCCGCCTCAGCCTCCCAAAGTGCTGGAATTACAGGCATGAGCCACGGCGCCCGGCCTTGATATTTGATTTACTTATATCCAGCAAATTACTAGTAAAAAATGGTGAAAAGATAGATAATCCAATAGAAAAATGGGCCACAAATTTGGATAGTAACTTCACAAAAGAAAATAATCAAGTGTTCAATAGACATAAGAAAAGGCATCAGAGAAATGCATTATACTGGGATGAAATACATCCCACCTGAATTGTTAACATCAAAAAGATAGGCAATATGAGGTGTTGGAGAGAATGTGGAGCAATTGATTTTCTAATGGGAGCATAAATGGATACAATGGAAAACTATTTGGCAGAATCTACTAAAAGGTGAACATAAACATATTCTATGACCCTGCAGTTCTACTCCTAGGTATTAATAGAAATGCGTATATATATATATATATATATGCATTAAAAGACATGTTCAAGAATTTTTAGAGCAGTACTAACTGTCATGTTACCACCACCCTGGATTCTTGCAATCTCCCAGAAGAGAAATCAAGAGAAATCACCAAACATTACAGCAAAGGAAAGTTTATTTCAGCTTGTGCACAAGGGAGCCAGCACTGATAAGGGAAAAGGAATGGGCTGCTCCCCAGGGTGGTGTGTAGGTTAGTTTTATAGCATCTTTCTATAAGTAGGGCTTCCATGAGGACATGTATAGGAGGGTTTTTTCTAGTACGTGTGCAGTGGCTCAGCATGCTGCTTCATACATTGTATGTAGCATTAACATTTTAAATTTCCACCTCTAGGCATGAATTTTAGCATGAAAATGAGGAAGGAGTAACTTTAGGTTAGAGTTTTAAGCCTAACTGCGCATGCAGGGCTCTGAGGAAGTCCCTAGCCCCCTGAAATAGGAGCTTGACATTAATAGCTTCTTGGGTCTTTTGTTACTGACTGGCTGAGAATTAGATAAGCTAGAGCTTGAGTGAGGGGCTTTTGTCCTTTTCCTCCAGATCATCTTAAAATAGGGAATCAACTAGCCTGCTGTCTCAATAGTAGCCAAAAGTTGAAAACAACCCAAATGTCAACCAACAGTAGAATGAATTGACAAATTGTAGTATATTCATAAAATGTAATACTACCTGAGGATACACTGTCTATTGCTTCCTGCAGCAACATAGATGAATTGCATAAACTTACCATTGAGCAAAAGAAGCCCAACAAACAAAAAACATATACTGGATGATTACATTTGTGCAAAGTTCCAAAACAGGCAAAAATATAATCTAGTGTGAGAAGTATGCATATGCTTACCTTTGGAGGGAAGGTAATAACTAAAAATATGCTCAAGGAAGACTTCTAGGCCATTGGTAAAATACTGTTTTTTTATCCAGGTGCTGGTTGCACAGGTAAGTTATTTTTGTAGAAAGTAATCAATCTGTACACTGGATTTGTGTGTGAATTTTTGTGTATGTATGTTATACTTCAGTAAAAACTTTACTAAAAAAAAGGCAAGGCCCAATGAGCTTGATTGAAGTGGGTATTTGTTCTGTGGCCTCAGGAATAGAGAGAACCAAAGTGTCTATAGACACATATATTGAAAACAAAACAAAAAACAAAGAAATTTACTAAACATCAACAAAGGTTATTACTGGATAATTGGATCAAGGGTAATTTTTTTTTTCTGTTTTCCAGCACTTTCCAAATCCTCTTCCAGGAGTCTGGTATTAGTCCTGCCATCTGGGTGTTAGGGGAAAGCAGAATCCTGGAGGATATTGTTTTGTCCTCAAGGCTTTGAATAGAACTGTCTATGCTCATCACATGCTTCCTTCTTGGAAGCACAGATTTCATTCAAGCTCTCTACATGTCTTCTAAGATTGCTTGGCAGACAGTTTAGGGATAACTTTATTTGAATTTATATGCCTTTGGAAAATTATAGGAAATAGATATTAAGCTCCAAGGAAGTAGCATAGGAAATCATAAGAGGCTTCCTGAGGGAGGTGACATTTAATCTGAGTGTCAAAGGGTGAACAGCAATTTGTGAAGTGTAGTAGGAGGAGGGGGATGAAGGATGGAAGGATCGTTGTAGACCAAGGAGACAGCACATGCAAGACATGAAAGAGAATGACGTGTTTGTGGACCAGAAAAGAATTTGGTATCATTTAGGAAGAATGGAGGGACAGGAGACGGGAAAGGAGTTAAAGCTCCAATGTTTGTAACTTTGTCCCATGCTATACACTGTGTTTGTAGATACAATATAACAGATGCCAAACATTGTTCATTGCATCAGACCATAAAAATGTATAATACAGTCTTAAAGTTTTAAATGGCCTTTTTAAAATATGCTTTACAGCAACAGCTTAATTAAAAAGATAATGGTGCCTATGTTACATACTGGAAGTCGGGAAGTAATCAACTTGAAATAAACCAGTCTTTGTAGAATTATCTCAAATTTTAAATTATTTCAGTATATCAAAATCCAAGCATGGATATAACATGTGTTATGCCAACTGCAGAGGACTCTCAAAACCTCTTCCCTTAAAATTATAGAATAGCTTGGTGCCAACATTAGCATCCCCACTGCGATGAATTTACAAGGAGATGAAGTTACATTTGGGGATATCGATATTATAAGGACACCTATCAATCTGATGAATAGCTACAGACAATGTCTGTAGCCTGTCATAGAACAGCCCTCTGGTTTGCCAAAGAACCACTTAAAATGCATAAATGCATTCTTTGTGCTAATGGAACAGATCTCTTTCGTGGTTTCAAAGGAGAAGAGAGAAGAAACAGAGAGTGGATGGTTCTTGTTTCACTTACGGCTTCCAAACCAAGACTACCAAATGAGAAAGACAGCTTGCTCTCTGAGCAGCACCAAGCCAGAAAGGAAGGTTCAGACCACTACCCACTCTCCCTTCTCACTTCTAAATTACACCATGAAAGTGGAGACAATGAGGTGTGCATTCCAACGCACAGGCCTGTGGTTGGCTCTGGGTATGAATTCAGCAGTGTAGACTGCGGCTGTGTTCAGTGGGTCACCACACTCCCATAACTGACCACTAGTAGGCGTGAAAACTGAGGCAACCCAAGATCCTGTGGTGGAACAGTTAGTTGCTGCTTTCAGATTCAGTTTCTGGCTAGAATGTCACAGCATGAATCACCTTGGAGCAGATTCCTGATGGCACGAGAGCTATAAATTGAATGGTACGACACTTCGTGGCTTTCACTGGCTCTGACATTAGCAGAAACAGCTGAGTAATCAGACAAAAGGCAGTGGAAGAGGAAAACGGAAGAGAATTAATATTGAGCAGCTTCCCTCTTCTGGGCATAAACTAAGAGTCTTCACATGCGTTATGGAGACAGCGTGGTTCTTACAATTTTGCATCTACCTCTTGCTAGCTATGTACACTTGGACAAGCTCCTTAACCTCTGTGAACCACAGTTTCCTCATATCTACCTCCTGAGGTTGTGTTGGGAGAAAAAGAGAATCCATGTTTACATGACACATATATATGGTATATATTACATAGAGTATGTATACACAACATAGTATATATAATATATACACATTATATATATATACACATACTATATATGATATATATAGTACACAACCTAAAACCTATATATAAATATACACACACACACACACATCATGTTGGTTTCTCCATAATTGTGTGAGCCAATTCATTAAAATAAATCTCTCTCTAGTATATAATACATGTATTTAATGAACAAGTTCCTTAACTATATATAGAATATATTTTTATTAGGTTCCTCATATTTTATATATATAGAGAGAGAGAAAGAGAGAGAGAGAGAGAAAGAGATGGAGAGAGATCTATTTTAAGAAATTGGCTCACACAATTGTGGAGGCTAGAAAATCCAAAATCTGCAGGGTAGGCTGACAGGCTGGAGACCTAGGAAAGAGTTGTTGCAGTTGCGAGTCCGAATGCAGTCTAGCAGCAGATTCCCTTCTTCCTCGAGAGACCGCAGTCTTTTTCTACTAAGGCCTTTCCACTGATTGGATGAGGCCCACTGACATAATAGAGGGAATGGAGGGGGAATCTGCTTTACTCAAAGTTTGCTGATTTTGTGTGTGTGTGTGTGTGTGTGTGGTGGAGTCTCGCTCTGTCACCCAGGCTGGAGTGCAGTGATGTGATCTTGGCTCACTGCAGCCTCCGCCTCTCAGGTTCAAGCAATCTCCCACCTCAGCCTCCCAAGTAGCTGAGGCTAAGGGAGCCCACCAGTCTGGCTAATTTTTTAATTTTTTGTAGAGATGGGATCTCACTTTGTTGCCCAGACTTGTCTCGAATTCCTGGCCTCAACCAATTCTCTCACTTCGGCCTCCTTAAGTGCTGGGATTACAAACATGAGCCACTGTGCCTGGCCTAGATTCAGTATAATTTTAAAACCCACTGGGATTTGATGCATAGAGCACTTTAATCCAAAGAGTGAAAGTTGTTGGTTCTTACTACCTTTAGCTATAAAATAAGAAGCTGTTGGAACTGGAAACATACTTTAGAAATCCTTAATTTATCTTTGTCTCCCACCATTTATTTCACAGACAAGGAAACAGGAGCCCAAAGTTTAATCCAGAAAAGAGAATCAATAACTGGGCCAGAACCTGAACACAAATCTCCCAACACTAGTCCTTTGCCCCATGGTTATTTTTTCTTCTTGATCTACAAATAGAAACATAAACCGGATGTTGTACATCATCACAAAATAAACTAGAAACCATTGCATACACTAGAGTACTGTTCATCTGAGTAACATTCGGGCTACCTTGTAACATAGAATTGCCCAACATGCAGTTGCCGAGTTTATGGACAGAATAATCTGGGCTCACACTACAGTGCTCATTCCACACTTGAGCATCATAGAACAGTCCTTACCCAGTGTCCAAAGGCCTTCATTATCCCATTTTTGGTGTTTAGTGCCAATTCTTGTTAGCTGGAGGCAAATTACCTACAGATCCAGCAAAGAAAGAAGCCCATTTGGCAACTATTCACCCTTGTCAGATTTGAAGCTGTTCTGGGAAGGCATTTTAATTAGACAGTGGGTGAGCTGCCACATTTAGAAGCAGCTCTTAAATGGAAGCAGAGAATTTCAGGACCAACTGAAGTTCTTGGTGCTTGTGTTGCTTTACCACTTAAAAGACAACCAGTGGATTCTTCTCTAGTACTCCTTTAGTACTGCAGGCTTTGTAAGATTTGGAATGGTTGAATGACTTCTTAAGGCTCATTCCTTAATTCTCATTGCACCTCTGAGTGCGTGGTTTGCAGGCAGAACATGAATCCTTTGATCATTGTCTAATTAACTCAAGCTATGTACCAGATAAATGGTGACTGTTTTGATGATTATATTCAGTTTTTCCAGAAGTGCTCATTTCAGTGAAGGCCTTTACAATTCATGAATATTAAGTGGGGTTTTTGTGTACAATTAAAGCAATAAATCAATCATCACTGCAATGTTCCATATTTATTATCTTCTTGCTTACAAAAAAACTGAGCAGTAACTCACTTGAACTTCAGTGTCTCCATTTTATAGGGAGGAAAGAGCAACAGAAAAATATTATGTCACCCAGCTTGTGAGAGGCAAAGTAAGAACTCTAAGCCAGAACCCAGATCATATTGTAGCAATCATTCAAAAAAGAAATGACAGTTTTCATCTTCTGATTTGTGCTATACATTTTGGCAATATCCTTAATATCTTGTGAGTGAGAATCTACTAAAAGGAAGTTGCCCAGCTTAGATATGAAGAAGTGGAACATGGCATGCTATAGAACAAAGTACATTGGACTAGAGATTGAGATTTGAGTTCCGCCCTCAGCTCAACAAATGACAACTGCTGTGACCTTGAGCAAGTCACCACATTTTGCTGGGCCTCCAGTTCCTCATCTACAAAATGATGTCTTAGCATTAGGAAACTTTCATCACAAGAAACATTTTGCAAAATCCCAATGTGTAAAACAGATAACAGATAAGAGAGCTCTGGTGGAGGAGGGGCCGAGGGGCCCAAGACCTAACTTTTTTTTTTTTTTTTTTTTTTGAGACAGAGTCTTGCTCTGTTGCCCAGGCTGGATTGCAGTGGCGTGATCTCTAGTCACTGAAACCTCCACATCCCGGGTTCATGTGATTCTCCTGCCTCAGCCTCCCGAGAAGCTGGGATTACAAGCATGTGCCACCACGCCCAGCTAATTTTTGTATTTTTAGTAGAGATGGGGTTTCGCTATGTTGACCAGGCTGCTCTCAATCTCCTGACCTCAGGTGATCCACCCACCTTGGTCTCCCAAAGTGCTGGGATTACAGGAGTGAGCCACCATGCCTTGTCCTGGGCCTAACTTTTTGGTCTTGCTTTTCCACTTGGAATCAATAGTGGCCAAGGCCCCTTTATAAGCTTAGGGCACTGAACCACATTACTATAAATTCCCTCTCAATGTTTATGTTTTAACAGTTATTTCCTTTCTCCTAGGCTTTTCCAAAATGTGAGGCATATGGAAAATTCAGGCAACACCCTGTTACTTATTCATCACTTAAGCCATGTTTTGGCTCAGAAGATACCAAGCAAAGCTGAATATTACTGTATTTCAGAAAGGGGAGTATTTCTTCAGTGCTCATCTTGGGGGTCTTCATAAAAAATGATTGACAGCTGACAGCTAATGTCTATTTTCACTTCATTGCCTTATGGGAAGAGATAACCATGAGCAGGCCATTTGGGAAAGTGAGGAATATTATCTAAGAATCATGATCCACAGAACCTGTTCACGGGTGAGGAGAAAGGGACGAGGTAGGGGGAAAACATCCCTAGCACAACCAGATTCTCCCCCATTATAAACGAGGAAAGTAAAAAACAGGGTCATGCTGCATTAATGTCTAGGTTTATTAGACTTACTACTTTTCTGGGCACAGTGGTAGACTTACTACCTTTCTGTAGTCCCAGTGATTCAGGAGGGTGAGGCAGGAGGATTCCTTGAGGCCAGGAGTTTGAGATTAGCCTGGGCAACATAGACCCTGTCTCAGAAAAATCAAAAAGAATTACTACCTTCCTCACACTGAAGGATTCTCAAACATTATTACATGGAGAATGAGCTCTCTTTGTGACCGTTCTCTAGAGGTTTTGACTCACTACTCTCTGTCTCTCACCCAGGGATTGAGTCTCAGCTAAATCCCTTTTCCATCAGTCACCAAAGATGCCCATTCACTAAATTATGCATACATGTTTTTTTGCCCAGCGAGGCCAGATCTATTTGCTCTTATAGAAAAATAAAGCATTTTTGCTGTTTTCCTTTTGTTTCTGCAAGCTTTTAGTCCATGGTGACATCATGGAAGCTTAAAACTTGAGAAGCCTACTCTCACAGCCCATGGACAGCCTTTCCTCACCCCAACCCCATCTATAATCACCACACTTTGGTCCAACTGCAACTGCTCTGTGTGGCATCAAGTTCTACAGGTAATCTGAAACTAAAATCATGAAAGAAAAGTAGGATTTGTGTTGTCGAATGGGATTTTTTTTTTTCGACTTGCCTGATTTGCAACTCAATCAGCAGGTAAGGCTAAAATAAAATATACAATCCAGGCCAGGCGTGGTGGTGCATGCCTGCAATCCCAGCACTTTGGGAGGCTGAGGCGGGTGAATCACTTGAGGTCAGGAGTTTGAGACCAGCCTGGCCAATATGGTGAAGACCCGTCTCTACTAAAAATACAAAAATTAACTGGGCGCGGTGGTGAGTGCCTGTAATCCCAGTTACTTAGAAGGCTGAGGCAGGAGAATTGCTGGAACCTGGGAAGTGGAGGTTGCAGTGAGCCAAAATCACACCACTGCCCTCCAGCCTTGGTGACAGAGTGAGACTCAGTCTCAAAAAAAAAAGTGCATATATATATATATATATAAATTTATATATATATTATATATATACACACACACAATGGCGGATGCTTTGTCTATATTTCTAAAATGTTAAGCTTCATACAAACTATGTACTGGTGGTGAATTGCAAAAATGACTATAATTTTTTCCCATCTCTGTAAGCATACCTCTTTAAAATGTGAATTTGAAGCTCCTCCCACCAAGAGGTAGATTCTATTTCACCATACCTTGCGTCTGGGCTTGGCTGTGTGACTTGATTTAGAAAATGAGACTAGCAAATAAGAAGCAAGCAGAGACTTGCACATTATGCCTTGTTCTCTTTTGCTGTGGTTAGAACCCTGAGATCTCCATGTGGAGGAGCCCAAACTGGCATGCTGAAAGATGAAAGGAGAAAGTATGAAGTGTCCCTGCCAGCCAGCTCCTAACCAACAACCTGCCAACGGCCGGACATGTGAGCAAGGCCATCCTAGACCATCCAGCTTCCAGTCAAATCTCCAGCTGACCACAGACAATATAAGCAAGCCCAGCAAAGAACAGGAAAGCAAACCTAGAGAAAAGCTACACAACCAGCCTGCAGAATTATGAGTGAAATAAGTACTTGCTGTTTTAACCAGCTAAATTTGTTATGCAGCAATAGCTAGCTGATATTGCACTCAGTAAATAATTATTAATTCAGATTTCTCAGAATGAGTATGAAAATGAAAAAGTAATTATGTATATTTAGAACAAAGCAAAGAGAAATCTGCTAAATAGAATAGAAACTGGCAGACATAAGGCTGATTTTTCTTCTTGAATTAAAATAAATAAATAAATAAATGAAGCAATAGAGGCCAGGTGCAGTGGCTCATGCCTGTAATCCCAGCACTTTGGGAGGCCAAGGCGGGCACATCACCTGAGGTCGGGAGTTGGAGACCAGCCTGACCAACATGGAGAAACCCCATCTCTAATGAAAATATACAATTAGCCGGGCATGGTGGTGCATGCCTGTAATCCTAGCTACTCGGGAGGCTGAGGCAGGAGAATTGCTTGAACCCGGGAGGCGGAGGTTGAGGTGAGCCAAGACCATGCCATTGCACTCCAGCCTGGGCAACAAGAGGGAAACTCCGTCTAAAAAAAAAAAAAAACCAATAGAAACAAATTTGTAACTCAACTTTTATTTATTTATTTTTTGAGACAGGATCTCACTCTGCAGTGGTGTGAGCATGGCTCACTGCAGCTTCAACCTCCTGGGCTCAAGCAATCCTCCCACCTCAGCCTCCTGAGTAGCTAAGACTACAGGTAAGTGCCACCATGCTCAGCTAATTTTTTAATTTTTGTTGTTGTTGTTTCAGAGACAAGTTTTCACTATGTTGCCCAGGCTGGTCTCTAACTCCTGGACTCAAGCAATCCTCCCACCTCAGCCTCCCAAAGGGCTGGGATTACAGGCATGAGCCACCACACCTGGCCTGTAACTCAACTTTTGATTCACCTGCCACTCTGACCAGTTCTATGAATCTGCTGAGTTCATTCTGGGCCTCATTCAAAATAATACTGACTCCTTGCCGCATTGAAGTGTGGGGAGGACTAATAAACCTTTCTTTCTTGTTCAAAAAGAATCCTGGGATCCTTGAATGAGGTAGGAAAGACAGAGCATTATTGCTGACACAGAAGCACGTCAATGGTTTCTGCATTGATATGTAGCAACAGAGAAGCCTCTTTAGGAAAGGGATGGGCTGGTTCCGCAGCCAGGGATAGAAACTAGAGAAAGCAGTAGGTGGGTACAGGAAGTGCAGGGAGGCATATGAGTATGTGAATTTCAGACATGTTCCTATTTTTAGTGTTGGCTAGGCAGTATCTGTATTTTTGTCTGTTCAAACAGCATACCTTCTCAGGAAGGAGGATAAAAACATCGGTATATATAGGGAAGATAAAAACATAGGTTTAGCATTTGCAGCACAAATTGCAAACTTTTTAAAGATTTAACTTTTCCAGCAGCTTGTCTGCTAATACTTAATAGCCAAAGTATAGAATATAATAGTTTTGCTGAGACTAAAATATTTTACTGATTTGAAAAGACTTTCAAAGTCAGAAAAGCTTATAAAATAAATAAAATCTGTTTGTACATTTTAATAACTCAAGACTATGGTTTTTAGGGAAAAAAATTACTTTTTTCACCCAAAATCAAATTTCAGTGTTAAATGTCCCTCTATACAGTCTGCACCAATAAGTCCCAAACTCTGATTACTAGCGTTCCTAAGGCACTTTTCAAAAATTTCTCTAGCGACCTCAGCCTCACTTATGGATATTCTGACCAAGTGGAACATAGGACTCTATTTTCTTTCTTCCTTTTTTTCTTTTCTTTTTTTTTTTTGAGACAGAGTTTCGCTCTTGTTGCCCAAGCTGGAGTGCAGTGGTGCAATCTCGGCTCACTGCAACCTCCAACCTCCCTCTGCCTCCCAGGTTCAAGCGATTCTCCTGCCTCAGCCTCCTGAGTAGCTGGGATTATAGGTGCCCGCCACCATGCCTGGCTAATTTTTTTTTTTTTAATTTTAATAGAGACAGGGTTTCACCATATTGGTCAGGCTGGTTTCGAACACCTGCCTCGGCCTCCCAAAGTGCTAGGATTACAGGGGTGTGCCACCGCACCCATCCAGGTCTCTATTTTCAAAAAGGTGACTCTGTTGATGAGCCAATTTTGGAAATCATTATCAGTAAAACGCTGTCCATGAACATAATTAATCTGATTGTCTTTTCTGTAGTCATAATAGAGATTCATTTCAAAACATTTCTTTTTTACAACCTTACACAAATGCCTACTCACTGTTAGCAACTGGACTATTTCTGAAACAAATATAGCAGTCTTTGATGAAAAATAAAAATGAGTACCTGTTGCAGAAGGAGTTATTTGGAGCAAGTACCTTTCTGGTGAATACTTGTACCAGACACATTCATTTGAGTGCACACATGTAGGTCAATTCCTAAGTGTAAATCTAACTACTAGGGGTGTCCAATCACCATTAGCATTGAGCTCCCAGCCTCTGACCCCCATCCAGCTCCTCTCCTTAGGAAAGGGGAGGGACTCTAACAGATTGATGAGCTTTGAAGAGGACACTGGCCATGTGGAGCCCCACTCCTTCCTTGCTGCTGCTTCTAGAAAGTTTCTGGCTGAAGCACATGCTCATTGTTCCTCTGTGCTCCCTGTTATTGTCTGGCCAGTGTGCCTCATCGTGCCAATATGTTTCTTGTTGGAATTCGGTATTATAAAACCACTTCCCTGCAGATAGCCACATTTTTCTTTATCAGATTTAGGAACCCTAATGGAGCTACTTCAGCCTCTACAGGAGGTAGGCAAGGGAAGAGTGTGGGTATGGGGCTCTCCTCAAATATACCAACATATCCCTGTGAAATTATTATTATTATTATTTGAGGTGGAGTCTCACTCTGTCACCCAGGCTGGAGTGCAGCAGCACAGTCTCGGCTCATTGCAACCTTGGCCTCCTCGGTTCAAGCAATTCTCCTCCCCAGTAGCTGGGATTACAGGTGCATGCCACCACATCCAGCTAATTTTTTGTATTTCTGGTAGAGACAGGGTTTACCATGTTGGACAGGCAGGCCTCGAACTCCTGACCCCAAAAGATCCGCCCGCCTTGGCCTGCCAAAGTGCTGGGGTTACAGGTGTGAGCCACCACACCTGGCCAAAATCTTTATTATTATTACTTATATTTTAGAGATGAGTAAATTAAGATTCAACAGATTATGTTTCTTTTCCAAGACCGCTCAAGCCATAAGAGATAACCCTGAGTCTTGCATACAGTTCTGCTGACTCTAAATAATATTGATTCATTAATGGTAACAAATATACTAATGTTAGATGTTAACAATGGGGAAGCTGGGTGCAGTATGTATGGGACCTAGCTATCTGTACAATTTTTTGCATTTTTCTGAAAATCTAAAACTGCTCTAAAAATAAAGTTTATTTCTAAAAAGGTTACATGTGCAATAAATGGCATCAGAAAAAGAATACATGTTTCTGGGCACTAAATAATAATATTTATTATTTTAAAAATAACACAACTATAAGTTTGAGTATGTCTCCATTACCTCATTTCCAGTTCTGGCAGAGTGCAAGGGTTACAAAGGCGCTAGAAGCAGACTTTGGTTGGAGTCACAGCTCTGTGACTCGATGCCAGTTACTCAACCTCTCTGAGCCTCAGCTTCTTCACCTGTAAAAAGGGGCCAATACCTGACAAATGCAATGGTTGAATTAATAAAATAATAGGGACTATGATAATAATAGTGTCCAGAATAATAAAAGTGCCTAGAACAGTGCTTGGCACAGACTTATTGCCTCATCCCCATTTGGATTCAATGCATCTGGAGTAGAACCAGGAGTCCACCTTTTAAATGCTCCTCCAGGTGATTTTGATGGTTTAGGTGTTATTAGTGAAGCCCAACCTCACCTGTAGGCATTGCAGTTGACCTGGCTGCCTGGACTATCAGAAGTTGGCTCACTGACTCTGCATTTCAAATCTCACCCTCCGCTGGAGATTTTCTTTCAAATTCCTCTGTAGGATTGTCATCTGGCACTGTTCTTTGTACCAAATAAAGATGTTGGCCAGTCCTGAGCTGAAGGAAATATCATATCAGCTCAGTTTGCTTCCTTATTCACCTTTCTCTGTTCTTCGACTGTGATTCCTGTAAATTCCAAAAGAGGAATTCTTTCCACAGTACTGGAGTTGCATTCTTGCAGCATATATTACAATTTTCAACATTATGACCATATAACAAGAAGCTCTTCTTGCCACTGGGCTTAAAAAAAGAAATTGTTAACAAATGCACAGAGAGCTATGCCATCGCAGAATAAAATAATATACATTCCAAACACACCAATATTCTCCTGTCTTGAGTTCTACCAACATTCTGTGGCTTTCCTCAACTGTAATGTGCTTAACAGTCTATAATTACATAGATCCGTCAGCCATAATAACTATATGCAGTTTATCTTTTCTTAGTGGTATCCTTCTTACCACACGTTGAATATATGAGTCTTGAGAGAATACATGGAGATATGAAAAGTGAAGGCAAAAAGAGGTTAAAAAGGAAAGAAATCTGTGCTTCAAGGGGAGAAAATTCTTTTAGCTGCCTCTAAAAATATTTATCCTTCATGTGAAGAGACACAAAAAAATTTTCCTACTAGAATAGCATAAGTAAAAATAAATACAAAGGTAAGATGCTGCTAGCTTTGAATGTGTCCCCCAAAGTTCATATGCTAGAAACTTAACCCCCAATACATCAGCGTTGAAAGATGGAACCTTTAAGAGATTATTAGGTCATGAGGATGCTGCCCCCATGAATAAATTAATGCCATTATCGCAGGAATGGGTTTGTTATTTTAAGAGTGGGTTTGTTATAAACGTGGACTATAAAAAGTGGGTTGTTATAAAAGTTTGGCCCTCTCTTGCTTGCTCTCACATGCTCTCTCACCATGTGATACCTGTTACCGTGTTATGACGCAGCAAGAAGGCCCTCACCAGATGCAGCCTCTCATTCTTGGACTTCCAAGCCTCCAGAAATATAAGCCAAATAAACTTCCATTGTTTATAAATTAACCAGTCTGTGGTATTCTGTTATAGCACCATAAAATGGACTAAGACAAAAAGCAAAACAAAACAAAAAATAGGACATACTAAGAAACCTAGAAAAAATATTTATTATACAGTGGATATAATAGGCTATGTATTGAGGGTATATTGAGGCATCTTCTCTTTAAAAGATTAATTACAATAACATGGATGGCTAAAAATGCCATTTTTTGTTTTTTTTTTTTGAGACAGAGTCTTACTCTGTTGCCCAGGCTGGAGTGCAGTGGTGCAATCTCGGCTCACTGCAAGCTCCGCCTCCCGGGTTCACACCATTCTCCTGCCTCAGCCTCTCGAGTAGCTGGGACTACAGGCACCCGCCACCACGCCCAGCTAATTTTTTGTATTTTTAGTAGAAATGGGGTTTCACCATATTAGCCAGGATGGTCTCGATCTCCTGACCTCGTGATCCGCCCACCTCGGCCTCCCAAAGTGCTGGGATTACAGGTGTGAGCCACCACGCCTGGCCTAAAAATGCCATTATTAAGTGCCTTCCACAACACAGATTTGGTCCATTGTCCAGTCCTATTCATTATGTGCTTGTGGTACATAATGTTGTCCCTCTCCTCTAAGACCAGTGCCATTCAAGGTTTTTGTGAATGTCTGTGTTTTTGTCTGCACAGCATCCATTTCTCATTTTTCTTGTGACAATACTCAAATTTTTTTAGGGTAAAAAAATTTTACCTTCATTCCCACTCCCTTCCCACTCTCCATCCATGTGTTATGAGTAAGTCACCTCCCCTTATCTCCAAGGGTGGGCATGTGTCCCAGGCCTATTCAGTCAGGGTATCCCACTATTCTAGCCCATGGGTTGGTTCAGTGATGGGTTCATGACTCATTCAATGTCAATGAGACTCAATTATGAAACTTTTGTGAGAACAAATGGAAGAAGGTCTCTTTCTCCTAGATATCAAGTTTGGGCAATCTAAGCCTGACAGTGACAGTGACCACGACATGGGTAGGGTCAGTCTGATGCCAAATTCCAACAGAAAATGGTAGAACTGAGAGAGAGTGGGAGAGAGAGAGAGAGAGAGAGAGGGAGGGACTCTTGACATTTTTGAACTCATTTATCTAATGAGATTGAAGGCCCCTGGTGTTTTCGTTGTTAAAATCAATAAATTCCCTTTTCCCTTAAGCTTGTTTAAGTTGAGGTTTCTGTTACTTGCAGTCAGAAAAGCCCTGACAATAGTTATATGTTTTTAATATAAAACAATATTTTTAAGAAAAAATAATTATCTTTCTGATGGTATAAACATCTTGACAAAGGAATTCTTCCAATGTCTCAGAATTGGATCAAAGGAAATTTCTCCTGAACCCATTAAAGGTCACAATAATGATTCCCATTATTGAATGCTTACCATGCACCAGCCGTGCTCAGTGCTGAAACTTAGAACCTCTCATTCCATCCTCACAATAGTGAATGGATGAGAAAATGAAGGCCAAGAGCCAGAATTTCAACCCAGGTCTGCTTCAGTTTAGTCCACGGCCTCAATTACCTCTCCTCCTGGATATATTATGCTTTATTCTAGAATCTGATATTATAAAAAATTCATATTAGAAACATGCATAGTTAGGTGTCAGTTTAATGGTAACCTTTTTAAAAATTCAGCTGATTCGCTCTAAAACATAAGCAGAAATACTTAAAAGGATTCATGGTCCTAGTGAATATTAATATTAACATCAAATAAGTTCAATCCTTAGCCCTTCCTCTCCTGTTCCTGATCCCGCTGCTGTCTTCCCAACATTGCTGACACAGTCCCCACTCCATCGAGTACTAAGCACCACTCACACAGGGCTGTTGTAGAGCAGGATGTCACAGCACACAGATTTTAGCTACCACAGTTTTTGAATTTCTTCAGCCATTCTTGCCCCTGAAATTCTCTTTGGTTATTTTGCTTTAGGGACATACATACCAGCATCCTGGAAACTTTTTCTCAACTCTTCTTTAAATCCCAGGATTCCTAAGCCTCTCAGCCTGTAAGCAATCCTGAGAAAACCAAAGCTTCCCAATATTTGAATATGCAGTGTAGTTTAGACCGCCTGTCGCAGTCTTTCCCATGAAGAGTAACTCATGGGTTTATCAAAAATTCCATTATATTTTCCTTTTCTTTTTCTTTTTCTTTCTTTTTTTTTTTTTTGAGACAAAGTCCCACTCTGTCATCCAGGCTCGAGTGCAGTGGCGCTATCTTGGCTCACTGCAACCTCTGCCTCCCAGGTTCAAGTGATTCTCCTGCCTCAGCCTCCTGAGTAGCTGTGACTACAGGTGCTCACCACCACACCCAGCTAACTTTTGTATGTTTAGGTAGAGACAGGGTTTCATCGTGTTGGTCAGGCTGGTCTCAAACTCCTGACCTCAAGTGATCCACCCGCCTTGCCCTCCCAAAGTGCTAGGATTACAGGCACAAGCCACTGCGCTCCACAAGCCACTGGCCTCCATGATGTTTTCTTGATAAAGTAATCCTTCTGGTGGGTTTCTAACCTTAGCAATATAGAAATCAAGAAGAAGCTTGAGATGATTTTTTAATATCTTATTTTCTAATTGTACTTGTTTAAGTAATGGTCTGAGAGTTTTCTTCCATTTTTCCCAGTTCCTATTACAATCTAGAACATATAGTAAGAAGTTAATAACGGTCGTTAATGGAGTGTTCACCAAATGACCAACTTCCTTTTTTCTCTGATGCTGTTATATAGACTTAATATCTTCATAAATTTCCCTCTGGGGTATGCAGCTTGGAGGACAGCTACACTGAGTTCAACCTTATAACCTCTGCAATCTTCCAAGAGATTTTTAGGTTAGTGCCCCAAGAATGCTGAAAACTTGAGCAAATCTAGACATGATACATCCACAAAGAGCGAAGAATAAGCCTAACCCCATCTTCATAGGCTGTGGGTTTTCATTCCCACCATGTCTGAACACATAGCTGGGAGATGGGTGATGCCTGGGCACCCATATTTTGTAAGGTTTCCCTTGAAAAGATTCTGATCATCACTAAATTTTCAAACAGCATTTTAGTGGTTCAAATGGTGACAAAAAGGTGATACGTACAAGTGCCTTTATTTCTGTGTGGGAAGTGGATGCTCCGTAGTATCTTCTGTCTATTAAAACAAGGCAGTCTGAGGAGAAACCGGAATTCAACTGCTCAGTGCTTTGGGCACTGGAGATAAAAACATTTTTAGATATCATTATTAATAATTCATAAATGAGAGAACTTTACCTGACCAAAGGAATTGATTATTTTTTTATAACTTATCTTTAATTTTGTTCAGCATCTTTATTTTTATGTGTTAATTTTTTTTGAGACAGAGTCTTGCTCTGTCACCCAGGCTGGAGTGCAGTGGCACAATCTCAGCTCACTGCAACCTCCGCCTCCTGGGTTTACGCAATTCTCCTGCCTCAGCTTCTGGAGTAGCTGGGATTACAGGTGCGTGCCACGATGCCCAGGTAACTTTTCTATTTTTTGTTAATAGAGACGGGGTTTCACTATGTTGCCAGGCTGGTCTCTAACTCCTAATGCAGGTGTACCATACATTCACTTGGAATGATTATTTTACACGGTTAATGGCATCCCAATTCTCCGTGATATGAAAACCATTGCTTGTACCCCAGCCCCAAGTCCATGCCCTCCTCACAGGCCTCACCTAAAGGCTTATGATCAATATAGAATAGCTCTTTTCACAAATCATATTACATTGTTAGCTTGGGAGTATGTACATTTACATTTAACATCTTTGTGTTTAATTTAGATTATTTTATCTGATGATAGGGGAATGAAAGAACAAGTTTGGCCTACAGCTTCTCTGTGATGGTGATGGAAATTCAAGATGAACAAAGTGGCTTTCTCTCAGCAGATGTAGCAAGGTCCCTTGCCTCAGAATCTCAAGGAATGACAGATGAAAGTCTTCTCTCCCTTCCTGTGAGCTTTGCAAATCAGAAATGACATTCCTTTCCTGGGGTGTGATGCTTCTGTAAATGTGATTTTACACTTTTTAAAAGCTATGGCTTCTTGGTCTCATAGTATATTGCAGGGAGGTCAGAATCATCTGGGGAAACTTCTTCAAATGCATGTATACACCCACACACCCACCCACACACACACACACACACACACACACATACATACATCCCTCACTCCCTGGGCAGAATGCCAAGTCACACTGCCTAGACATCCTTCAGAAAAATACATCCATCAGAACTCTGATAGAATGCCAGGGGGATCTCTGCTTTGTGTTATAACGGGGTGCTATGCGTGTGGGGAGGGGATTGGTCCCACTACATCTGTAGGAAGATGCTGTATAATGAGGTTTCACTGTGTTTTCCTCATTTCTTCACTCTTCTGGGAGACGATGGCAGAAAAAACTTTATTACTTTCTGTCCAGTTTATTTGACTAGTATCCAAAATCTGTGCTTTATCATTGGTCATGGGAAAGCTGAAGAAAGGAAGAAGAATGTAAAGAGATAGTATGCATGGAGAGGATACTGATAATCTTAGAACCAAGGATTTCTATCATGGCTTTGTTGTTGTTTGTTTGTTTCTTTTTTTGCCAGCATGCCAAAAAGAACCTTCATTTACTTCTATAATCACCTCTTATGCTTTTTTGCCACATGACTTTGGAGCAGGTGCTTTCTGGGCTGCAGCTTTTTGACCCTTCTTGAACTTTCGGAGGAGGTGCTGCCTTCTGGCCTGTGGCTTTCTGGCAGGAAGCTTCTGGGCTGGAGCCTTCTTGTCTGCTTTTGAACCCCGAGAAAGCAAATGCTTTGGGCAAGTAGCTTAACCTCTTTGTGTCCTACTTTTCTTTTCTCTCAATGGGGATAATAATATACAGGTGGTATTACAATGATGCTATTGTACAAAAAAAAAATAGTGCATTAAAAACAAGGTAAAAACCCCAGCTGAGATTTTCTAAGGGCTTACTATGGACCAGGCACAGTTGTAAGCATTTGACACTTTCGAGTTCATTAACTCTCATAACATAAAATGACTGAATATACATAAGGTTCTCACATCAGGGCAGGGCACATGGCAAGCCCTTTTTAATTGTTAGTTGTGATTCTGAAAAACTGCTAAATAATAATCCGTATGATTAAACTTTTTTTTCCATTCTGATGGGCAGTTATCTCCTCATTTTCACTATTATGAATAGCGCTTTAGTGAACATCATTGTATGTATCTCCTTTGTGCATGTTTAAGAATTTCTGGGAGAAGGGAGCAGGGACATGGGAGAGTCTAGAAATAGAATGCTGTCATGCATTTAGCCTGTTTCCTTCATTCTGAAAAAGAAAATTAAGTAGTATATGTTTCCTCACCTCTCAAGAGAGCTTTAAAACATAAACAGATATTAGCCAGGTGTGGCGGCGTGCACTTTAATCCCTGTTACTTGGGAAGCTGAAGTAGGAGAATTGCTTGAATCTGGGAGGCGGAGGTTGCAGTGAGCTGAGATCACACCGCTGCACTCCAGCCTGGGTGACAGAGCGAAACTCTGTCTCAAGAAAAAATTAAAATTAAAATAAATAAATAAAAGATCACTTTTTTCTTTAAACATTGATTTGTAGATAGTATTTGAATTACAATGTGCTACACTAAACAGAGTGTACCAGTAGGATGGCTAATGGTGATTTACCTTTAAATTGTCAATTTGAATTAGAGGATAAATTTAATTGAAAAAAATTAGCATGTAGACAACATTAATTTGGGAAGGTGTGATTATCAGTTTCTCTGCCTCTGTTTTTTGTTGTTTTTTTTTTTGTTGTTATATTGTTGTTTTTGTTTTTGGCTGTTTGTTTCTGCAGATTGACATTAATTGCTGGCCTTGTGACCAGATACCGTTTTCCAGTTTTCAAGAGAAAGGGTGATACTTCAGGTGTTGTGACACATCTTAACGAGCTTTGCCAACTACTCTCCTACCACTCTTGTTCTGTATTTGAAGAACAAAGAGTGCAGATTTGAACAGGGCAGGTCCCAGCTCACCTGAATACCAGTGAGAATTAAATCTCAGCCCGTGTCTCTGATTGCCCAGTGCCTCTCAATTTGCTGTGATTGTGTGAAACAGATTGCCCAAGGAGCTGGCCCTGGTCACAACATGCCTCACAAACTGAAACAGTGACAGCAGGGGTGATTGATAGAAGTCCTTCTATGAGTAGCAGGTGCTACCCAGGTGAACCAAACTGTGGCCATTATTGTTTTGGGTCAGAATGCACTTAGTGTCAGAAACAAGAGCAGCCTTCTGAACTGTTCTGTGCTTCCTCTAAAGTAAGCATGCAGTAGTTTATAATATTTTTGTTTGCATTTCCCTGCCACTGGTGAAGTGAAGAATCTCTTCATACTGTTCTTTTGTATTTCTTCTTTATTGTGTGTTCTTGCTCTTTGCCCATATATATGTTTTTATAAATTAATGGTTTTTTTATAATAATTACTCAAATCAAATGTCATTTTCTTACTTTCCTATTTTAATTTCTTACTTTATTTCATTTTTTCATGGACACCTCTAATATATGACTTTATTTCTTTAATTGCACTTACTATTATTTTATTTTATTTTTAATTTTTAATACAAAGTTGAGACGGGGGTCTCATTATATTGCCCAGGCTGACCTCGAACTCCTGGGCTCAAGTGACCTCCCACCATGGCCTCCCAAAGTGCTGGCATTGTAGGCATGCCCCACTGCACCCAGCCTATGATTTTAAATTATCTTGTTATTTATTTCTTACCGTATTTGTTGCTACTAATTTGTTTATTCACTTCTTTATTAGCAAGGATCTTGCCAGTTTTGTTTGCCATTGTATTTGTAACAGCCTGGTTTATAGAAGACACAAAGTATTTGACAAATTAATAAATAAATTGCATTGTTGCTTTGATACCTATAAAATACAGTAGATACCTGAGATACATGATACACAACCAAGTATCTAGGGGATTGTGTAGGCACCAACCCCCTACACAATCAAAAGTTCAAATATAACTTTTAAGCCGGGTGCAGTGGCTCACACCTCTAATCCCAGCACTTTGGGAGGCCAAGATGGGCAGATCACTTGAGGCCAGGAGTTCCAGACCAGCTTGGCCAATGTGGTGAAACCCCATCTCAACTAAAAAAATAAAAACAAAAATAAAAAATTAGCCAGGCATGGTGGCACACACCTGTAACCAGCTACTTGGGAGGCTGAGGTGGGAGAATCACTTGAACCCAAGAGGCAGAAGTTGCAGTGAGCCAAGATCAAGCCACTGCACTACAGCCTGAGCAACAGAGCGAGACTCTGTCTCAAAAAAAAAAAAAAAAAAAGGGAAAAAGGCAAACATACCTTTAAACTCCCCCAAAACTTAACTACTGATAGCCTACTGTTGACCAGAAGCCTTACCAATAACACACACAGTTAACATATATTTTGTAGGTTATATGGATTATGTACTGTTATCTTACAATAAAGTAAGCTAGAGAAAATGTTATTAAGAAAATCATAAGGAAGAGAAAATACATTTACTATTCATTAAATGGAAGTGAATCATCATAAAGTTCTTCATCTTTGTTGTCTTCACCTTGAGTAGGCTGAGGAGGAAGAAAAAGGGTTGGTCTAGCTGTCTCAGGGATGGCAGTGGGGAAGAAAATCTGCATCTAAGTGGAACTGTGCAACTCAAACCAGTGTTGTTCAAGGGTCAACTGTATACCAGTATCTTGACACTAACAGATGGTGGATTATTGTGTGTTCTCCTCTAAATTAAACTTGAATGAAATCTGTTGCAAGCCCAGGTTTCAGTAGTTGAAGGAACCAAGGGAATTCTCTGGTGACAGTTAGCAAAAATGTTTAGCTGAGTTGTAGGAGTTTCAAGGCAGTAAGGTAGGAAGGTTTCCTGTTTCAACCAGATCAGCTCCTCGCTCATCAGCATTCCTTTTTTTCTTTTTTTGAGATGGAGTCTCTCTGTTGCCCAGGCTGGAGTGCAATGGCATGATCTTGGCTCACTGCAAACTCTACCTCGTGGGTTCAAGCAATTCTCCTGCCTCAGCCTCCCCAGTAGCTAGGATTACAGGCGCACTAGCTAGGATTACAGGTGCACGCCACCACATCCAGCTATTTTTTGCATTTTTGGTAGAGACGGGGTTTTGCCATGTTGGCCAGGCTGGTCTCAAACTCCTGACCTCAGGTGATTCACCTGCCTCGGCATCCCAAAGTGCTGGGATTACAGGTGTGAGCCACCAAGCCCTGCCACTCATCAGCATTTCACAGAGACATCCTGCACAAGCTTTTGTTTGAAGAAAGTTTCCATTGCTCAAAACAGGAAGTTGGGTTCATGTGGGAGAAATCACTGTTTTAGGGAATCTGGAGAAAAAGGTAATGGAAATGACTTTACATTTTAAGTTATATTTGTTTTTCCCTTTAAACATCAGTGTGCTGTTATTATTAATGTTTTTATAATATAAAAATATAGGCCGGGCATGGTGGCTCACATCTGTGTTCCCAGCACTTTGGGAGGCTGAGGTGGGTGGATCACTTGAGGTCAGGAGTTCAAGACCAACCTGATCAACAGGGTGAAACACTGTCTCTACTAAAAATACAAAAATTAGCTGGGTATGGTGGCGAGTGCCTGTAATTCCAGCTATTCGGGAGGCTGAAGCAGGAGAATTGCTTGAATCAGGGAGGCGAAGTTTGCAGTGAGCCAAGATTGCGCCATTGCACTGTAGCCCGGGCAACAGAGCGTGATTCCATCTCAAATATATATATGTATAATATAATATAATATATAATAATATGATATATAATTACCTCTGGCTCAATTTTAAAGATTTAAGCAATTTATGGTCTTTAGATTTTTAGAAATAAATGAAAAAATATGGAACACTTCATGCATTTGTAGTCATTTTTGTGCAGGGCCATGTTAATCTTCTCTGTATCATTCCAATTTTAGTATGTATATTACCAAAATGAGCACCCTTTTGTCCATATTTTAAACTAGGATGGTAAATATTTATTTTTGATTTATAGAAACTTTTTGTATAATAGGAATATTAATATTTGTCTGTAAAATATGTTGCAAATTCTTTTCTTCCTAGCATGTCATTTGTCTACTAATTTTATTTATGGGCTGGGCATGGTGGCTCATGCCTATAATCCTAGCACTTTGGGAGACTATGTGTGAAGGATCACTTGAGCTCAAGAGTTTGAGACCAGCCTGGGCAAAAAAGTGAGACCCTGTCTGTACAAAAAGTACACTAATAAGCTGGGCATGTTGGTGCATGCCTGTAGTTCCAGTTACTTGGGAGGCTGAGGTGGAAGGATTGCTTGAGCCTGGGAGGTCCAGGCTGCAGTGAGCCACGATTGTGCTACTCCAGCCTGGGTGACAGAGCAAGACCCTATCTCAAAAAAAAAATCATTTATGATCTCTTTCTTAGTATCAAATTTTTAAATTTTTATGTGGTCAAGTGCATATCTTTTTCTTGGTCTTCCTCACCCAAGATTATGAATATACAGTATTCCCTATATTTTCTTCACAGTTCTTCTGTTTTTAACATTTATAGCATACTTTGAGGCAAGGATGTTAGTATAGTTTTCTTTCTGGATGAATCTCCAATGATTTCAACACCATTTATTTTATAGTTCAGTTTTTGCTTATTTGAAATGTTTCCTGTATTATAAACAGGATTATGATTCAAACAATGTCTATTCTGAACTTACTGTTACATTGATACTATTTGTCGATACTGTTCTTCTGCACTGATACCACACTGTTTTAATTACTATAGCTTTATAGCGTGTTTTATTATCTGGTAGGACAAGGTTCCCTTCTCTACTTTTTTTAATTTCCAAAAATAGGCAGCTTTTACCAACCAATTTCTCTTTCATATAAACTTTCTTTTTTTTAATCACTAAACCGCATTTTTATTTAAACAACATTAATTACAGTCTTTCCTCATATGTGTCCTCTTTCCACCTTAAGGAAGGCTTCTGGAACTTTAGAAAAAGGAAAGGTTTGTTCAATAACTGGCCCAATTTTTCCCACATCCACCAGTTCTGCAATGTCACCTAAACGTGGACCACTGGCCACAAAAAACGCCCAGCGATAATGGACTCCTTTCCAGAAATGCTTTAATGCCTTCGAGACTATGGTGACTCCTGCCTGTAACATGCCATCTGCTATGCCCAATCAGTCCATGTTCAGGAGGAAAGGACTCACCAAAGTCACATAGGTGGCTCCTGACCATTTCTTGAGAAAATCTGAGCCCATGTTTCAGTGGATCCGCCAACATTACCAAGGATGAAATCAAACGGTTTTAAGGATTTCAACTGCTCTTCCACACTTCCAAATTTGTAATCAATTACATCATCTGCCCCAAGCTTCTTTATAAGCTCACTGGCATCTTGAGCGCAAATTGCTGTCACACGAGCATCCCATGCTTTCATTACCTGTATAGCAAAACTACCAACTCCGCTTGAAGCGCCTAAGATTAGAACACGTCTTCCTGTGCAATTCTTGTCATTCAGGTCACCAACTTTGTTTATGGCAGATGAGGCTGTGAGAGCCACATATGGCGAAGAGGCAGCTTGATATATGAGTGAGTGATTTGGGTTTGTGAGAGACCTCATTTCCACTGACTACAACAAACTCTGAAAGAGTGCCTTGTTTCCAAGGAGGAACTGCAGCCCAGACCTTATCTCAAGGCTTGAAGTACTTCACATCCAGCCCACATTCCATCACCATTCCAGAGACATCCCGAATCAGAGTCAGAGGAAATTCTTCTCCTTTGATTTTCATGTGTAAAGGATTACGCTTCATATTTAAAGCTGTAGCTCCATAACCACTTCTCATATTGACGTCTATAGGATTTACACTGGCAGGGTGAACTTTTACAGTGACTTCATTTGGCTAGCGTATGATAGGTATCATCACGTTCTGAGTCAATCGAAGCACTTCATTCTTCCCATACTTATCTATCACCCAAGCAGGCATGACAGTGCTCCTTGGAGAGGTAGTACTAATCCTTCTAATGGAAGGCCTTTGGACAACTTTGCTTCTCCAGAAGCAAACCACAGTACACGCATTTCTTCTAAGTACACAAGTCTTCAGAAATTCCATTGTAAACACTGGTTGAACTGCATGCTCAAATTCAAATACACTGGACTGGATCAAACTCTCACCCCTGAATTCAGTCAAATTCTGCCAAACACACGGGCTAGTTTCAAAATTGAGCATGCAAAATGGAGCATTTGAAAATGAAGTTAAACTAATGGACAAATCTGTCCTGGGAGCCCTCTGCGGAACAAGCAGACACCGCTCGCGATCCAATGCCAGAGAATCAAACGCTTGCCGACTACTGCCGCGACCTTGGCCCGGAATCTCCTTGCCTTCATGTAAACTTTCAAGTTGGCTTGTCATTTCAAAAATTGGTAAGATTTTGTTTGGAATTATATTGAATTTATACCGTAATTTGAAAGACTTAAAGTCTTTGCATAGTTTATTTGTCCATTCCAGAAACTTTTGTCTCTCTTAATTTACTCATGTCTTTTGTATCTTTGAAAACAGTTTTCTAGTTTTCCTTTCTTAATTTTTTAAAATTTATTTTTATTTTTTGTAGAGACAGGGTCTTGCTTTGTTGCCCAAGCTGGTCTTAAACTTCTAACCATAAGCAGTCCTCCTGTCTTGGCCTCCCAAAGTATTGAGATTACAGGCGTTAGCCACTGCACCCAGCCACTCTAGTTTTCTTAGTACAAGTGTACCCACTTATTGTTATCTCTATTCCTAAGTGTTTTATACTTTTCTGCTGTTGTAAATGAGACTTTTTGTATGTTATTTCCAAATTTATTATTTCTTTAATTTTTGTACATTGACCTTTTATTGAGACACCATATTAAACTCCCTTAACCTCTCTCTCTTTTGCTTTTTTTGATTAATTTTACCTGTAGACTTAGTGCTATAGTTTCAACTCTATACTCTCAAAGTCAGTTTTGTTTCTTCCTTCTTAATATTTCCCTTTTTCTGAGTTAATTAAATTGGGTAAAATTTCAAGTACAATTTTTCAATAATAGTGTTGTTAGAGGAAATATTTGATTTTCTTCTAATTTAAATAGGAATTCTTTGAATGATTTACATTATGCGTTGGACTTATTGAGTTTCAGCTTTCACCCTTTTCCAGGTTTATTTCTAATCTTAGTTTACTAAGATGTGGTCAATGTAATTGCTGCTGAATTTTATCAAGTGATTTTTTTTTACTGTCTATTGATATTATTATAAACTTTATTGATATGCTAATGTAGTGAATTACAATGATACATTTTTTGAGTGATGAACTAATTCAATCAAACTCTAATTATAATGTTTTGTTATCTTAATACACTGCTGGATCAACTTTACAAATATTTTAATTAAGATACCTGTACATATGGTCATAGCTGAGATAGCTTAAATGTTTGATTGCTTATCTCTCTAGGTTTCTGGCTATCTGTCCATTTGGTTATTTGTCTGGATACTATACCTGGTCTGGTTTTGATATCAGAGTTATGTTTATTTCACAGAATGCATTAGAAATACTTTTTTTTTTTTTTTGGCCCAAGAAGGGTTTAAGTAGCATAAATATGGTCAATTTCTTGAAGGCCCAAAAGAAGTTTATTAAAGCTATATTGGTTTAGTGCCTTTTTTAGAGGTAGAGTTCTGTATTGTTTATCTATTGCTGTGTTAGAAATTATCCCAAAACTCAATGGCCTAAAACAACAATAACCATTCATTATCTCATTGATTCTGTGAGTCAGGAATTTGGGAGCAGCTCAGTTATGTGGTTCTGGCTTAAGGTTTCTCATGAGGTTGCACTTAGATGTTGGCTGGGTCCACAGTGATCACAAAGCTTTATTGGGGCTGATGGATCAAAATGTCTCACTAACATGACTGCCAAGTCAGTGCTGGCTATTGGCCAGGAACCTCTGTTCCTTTTCTCATGGGTCTCTCCAAAGGACTGCTTGAGTGTCCTCATAGCATGGTGCCTGGCTTCCCCTAGACTGCAGGGAAGCCATCTTTTGACTTCCCTGGGCCACACTGGAAGAAGGAGAATTGTCTTAGGCAACACATAAAATACACTAGCACTAACGATAACTGATGAGCTAAAAAAAAAAAAAAAAACTCTTAATTTTTTAAGAAAGTTTATGAATTTGTGTTGGCCATATTCAAAGCCATTCTGGGCCACATGCACCCATAGGCTGCAGGTTGAACAAGCTTGCCCTAGAGTAAGCAGTTAAAAAGAGCATGATAAAAGACACAATGTCTTTTAATGACCTATTCTTGGAAGTCACACACTGTCACTTTTTTTCTTATTCTATTGGTCACTGGGCCATCTCTGATTTAGCCCTGATTCAGAGAGGGCCTGATAGTAGGAGGCAAAAGTTTATTTGAGAACGTCTTGTAGGCTGGCCCCCGTAAGTGCTGAGTGCCTTTTCAATTATTTAATGATTATTGCTCTAGTCAGATTCTAGCTCTTCTTAAATCAATTTGGTATTTTATAGTCTTCAGGAAATTTACTCTATCATATAGTTAAATGTTCTATAAGTTTTTAGTGGAAAGTTTTTGTTTCTCCAAGGTTACAAAAAAATTATGTCCTCAGATCTTCTAGAATTTTTGTGGTTGTATAGTAATAAAATTTTTTGTCAAATAATTTAGATATTTGTCTGGGCAGGGTGGCTCACACCTGTAGTCCCAACACTTTGGGAGGCCAAAGTGGAAGGATAGCTTGAGGCCAGGAGTTTGAGACCAGCCTGGACTACGGAGCAAGACTCCATCTCTACAAAAAATTTAAAAAATTAGCTGGGTGTGGTGGCACATGCCTGTAGTCCCAGCTACTCCAGAGGCTGAGGCTGGAGGATCACTAGAGCCCAGGAGTTCAAGGCTGAAGTGAGCCATGATCACCACTGCACTCCAGCCTGGGTGACAGAGTGAGACCTTGTCTCAGAACAACAACCACAAACTAAACTAAATTTCAGGCTATGAAGGGGAAGAGAAGTTGGACATGCCTCATTATACCCCCTTTTCTTTCGGAGTTTGGGCTTAACTGACCAGCATTACTGTTAAAATACAGAGCATAAGTCTGATAAAACAGATGCTTTGGCAATAAAATAGCAAATTCCAACCCAACTCTGATATACCATCACATAACAGATAGCAGATCCTGAAGGCAATAAAAATATTTTACCCCAAAATATATTTTCTTAACATATTTTGCAATGGCCCTGAAAACCTGTCTTTCATGAGGAAGTTTGTGTCTGTAAAGAATCTCCTTCTGTTTTTAGGTCTTTCCCAGATCTAGGAGAGATTAAATGAGAATCTGACACTGTTATGTTCTGAAAAGAGATATGTACCATCTATTCTCTCTAAGGCAGCTACCTGGAGGCTCCATCTACAAAACAAGAACCTTGGCTTCCACAACCCACCTTGTCTTCACTCAAGCATTCCCCACTCCCCAGTGTCTAAAACCAAACTGTAACCTGAGCCATGGTCATTCATATTGGCTCAGAATAAACTTCTTTAAATATTTTATGAAGTTTGGCTTTATGGTCAACATTTCTTTTATTGAAAGTTTCTTTGTTTTATTATCTAGGATCATTGTTGAATTTTGTCACATTCCTTTTTAGCATCCATGGAGATGATCATTTGATAGACAATAAATATTATTAGATTTTTCTAGAGTTGAGCCATCCATATATTCATAGGAGAAAAAAACCTTCATAGTCATAAATTGCCGTTGGATTCTGCTTATTAATAATTTATTTAGTATTGATATTAATTGAAAGACTAGTCTATGGCTTTGTATCTTTTTTTGTTTTTTTAAGACAGAGTCTCACACTGTTGTCCAGGATGGAGTGGAGTGGCATGATCATAGCTCATGGCAACCTCCAACTCCTGGACTCATGTAAGCATCCTGCCTCAGCCTTCCAAGTAGCTGGGATTACAGGCACACATAACTGTGCCTAGCTAATTAAAACAATTTTTTTGTAAAGACAAGGTCTGCCTAGATTGCCCGGGCTGGTTTTTAACTCCTGGGCTGAAGTGATCCTCCCACCTCGGCCTCTCAAAGTGCTGGTATTACAGTCATGAACCACCACACCTGGCCTTAGCTTTTGTAAATTTTGTAGTCTTTGTCCATTATGTATTTTATATTCCCTTCATAAAAATAATTAGGAAGCTTTTCTTCTTTTTTTAGGCTCCAGAAGAGTTTAAATATAACTAGAATTATCTGCATTTTAAAGATTTGGTAGAATTCCCCTGTGCAATAATGTGGTTTTGATACTTTTCTTGGGAAGAAGAGAGGAGCAACTGTTAACTATTTCCATATTGGACTTTCTTATGTAATCTAATGAGTATGGCATGGTGTAAAAGAAAAAGAAAAAGGTGGGGCGTGGGGGTTCATGCCTATAATTTTAGCACTTTGGGAGGCCAAAACAGGTGGATTGCTTGAGCCCAGGAGTTCGAGACCAGCCTGGGTAACATAATGAGACTCCATCTCTATTTTTTAAAAAAAATAAGAAGAAGAAATACATATTTGGTCACTTTCCTTTCACTCCCTTGGCACACAGCTTGATGTGCTCTGGATCTGTGTCCCTACCAAATATCATGTTGAATTGTAATTCTCAATGTTGGAGGTGAGGCTGGTGGGAGGTGATTGGATCATGGGGCGGATTTCTCATGAATGAATGGTTTAGTACCATTTCCTTGGTGCTGTTCTCATGATAGTGAGTGAGTTCTTACAAGATTTGGTTGTTTAAAAGTGTACGGTACCTCCCCTTTCTCTTTTGCTCCTGCTCCTGTCATGTAATACATGCCTGCTCCTGCTTTACTTTCCACCATGATTGTAAGTTTTCTGAGGTCTCCCCAGACACTGAGCAGATGCCAGTATCATCCTTCCTGTACAGCCTGTGGAACTGTGAGGCAATAAAAACTCTTTTCTTTTCTTTTCTTCTTCTTCCTCTTTTTTTTTTTTTTTTTTTTTGGAGACAGGGTCTCACTCTGTCACCCAGGTGGGAATGCAGGAGTGTGATCACAGCTCACTGCAGCCTCAGCCTCCCAGGCTTAAGCAATCCTCCCACCTCAGCCTCCTAAGTAGCTGGGAATACAGATGTGAGCCACCCAGCTTATCTAATTTTTGTATTTTTGGTAGAGATGGGGTTTCACCATGCTGCACAGGATCTCAAATTCCTGAGCTCAAGCAATCCACCCACCTCGGCCTCCTAAAGTGCCAAGATTATAGGCATGAGCCACTGAGCCCAGCCTAAATCTCTTTTCTTTATAAATTGCCAAGACTCAGGTATTTCTTTATAGCAATGCAAGAACAAACTAATACAGAAATCCATAATCCTAAAATCACTGGGATCACTGAAGTGATAAATGCCTTTGTGTATGCTAATGAACGACTGATAGCTGGGGGCTCCTGGATAGCCTCAGGATGGGGGCTGGTTGCCAGGGCGACTAACCATGTGGTTAGAGGGTTTGAAATTTTAGCCCCCCAAACCCCTATATCCGGTAGGAGAGAGAGATTGAAGATTGACTTAACCACAATGGTCAATGACTTAATCAATCATGCCTACAGAATGAGGCCTCAGTAAAACCCCAAAAGGACAGGGTTCAGAGACAGCTTCCAGGTTGTGGAACCCAGGGAGGTGTTGGGAGGGTGGTGTGCTTGAAGAGGGAATGGAAACTGCACACCCTTTCCAGCCTACCTGGCCCTATGTGTCTCTTCTATCTGGCTGTTCCTGAGTTGTATCGTTTTATGGTAAACTGGTAATTCAGTAAGTAAACTTTTTACTGAGTTCTTCGAGCTGTTGTAGCAATTTTTTTTTTTTTGAGATGGAGTCTCACTCTGTTGCCTAGGCTGGAGTGCAGCGGCGTGATCTCGGCTCACTGCAACCTCTGCCTCCTGGGTTCAAGCAATTCTCATGCCTCAGCCTCCCAAGTAGCTGGGATTACAGGCGAGCACCACACCATACCCAGCTAATTTTTATATTTTTAGTGGAGACGGGGTTTCACCACATTGGCTAGGCTGCTCTCGCACTCCTGACCTCAGGTGATCCACCACTTTGGCTTCTCAAAGTGCTGGGATTACAGGCTTTTCAAAGTGCTGGGATTACACCGTGCCCGGCCAGTTCTAGCAAATTATTAAAACTGAAGTTGGCACAGGGGTGGGGGTTGTGGGAACTTCCAATTAATAGCTGGTCAGTCAGACTCACAGCCGACTTGGAACTGGCATAGGAAGTAAGGGCAGTCTTGCAGGACTGAGCCCTTCTTCTGAGGAGTTTAGGCTAAGCTCAGGGAGTAGTGTCAGAATTTATTTGAATTGTGGGACACCTAGTTGGTGTCCAGACAGTTGGTGTGGGAAAACAACAACAACAACAATAGCAGCAACATACATTTGATGTCAGCAGTGAAGTGGGGTGAGTGTTGAGAGTAAAGTACAGAGGAAACGGGAGTTTTCCTTTCAGACGGGAAGCAATATAGCTGAGCATCAAAAACAAGTAATGCGGCTGGGCACGGTGGCTCATGCCTGTAATTCCAGCACTTTGGGAAGCCAAGGTGGGTGGATCACCTGTGGTCAGGAGTTCAAGACCAGCCTGGCCAACATGGTGAAACCCCGTCTCTACTAAAAATACAAAAATTAGCTGGGTATGGTGGCAGGCGCCTGTAGTCCCAGCTACTTGGGGGGCTGAAGCAGGAGAATAGCTTGAACCTGGGAGGCAGAGGTTGCAGTGAGCCGAGATCGTGCCACTGCACTCCAGCCTGGGTGACAGAGCGAGACTCCCACTCAAAAATAAACAAACAAACAACAATGACACAAAAAACAAGTAATGACTTCACATCATGTTCCAGGGCTTGTAGACCGCTCACACTTTCACTGACATCTGCATAGTCATTGCAACACCGACCAATCTGGAAAGGCAGAATCAATCACAAGCATCTAAAATGCATTTCTGAACATGAGAAGAAACAATAATATGAAAGATATCCAATGAAACTTTCCCATGTTTCAAAGAAAACAATGAACATTGCTAGTTTTTTTAAATTGAAAACTATTTTTGATGGCTATTACTAAAAAGTCAAAAAATAACAGATGTTGACAAGGTTACAGAGAGAAAAGAGAATGCTTATACACTGCTGGTGAGAATGTAAATTAGTTCAGCCACTGTGGAAAGCAGTCTGGAGATTTCTCAAAGAACTTAAAAGAGAACTACTGTTCAACCCAGCAATTCCACTGCTGGTTATATAGCCAAAGGAATATAAATCGTTCTACCATAAAGACACATGCACGTGTATGTTCATTGCAACACTATTCACGATAGCACAGACATGAAGTCAACCTAGATGCTTATCAGTGGTGGACTGGATAAAGAAAATGTGGTATACATATACGACATGGAATATTACACAGCTGTAAAAAATGAGCTCATGATTTTTGCAGAAACATAGATGGAGCTGGAGGCCATTATCTTAAGTGATTTAAAGCAGGAACAGAAAACCAAATACCACATGTTCTCATATCATAACTGGGAGTTAAACATTGAATCCACATGGACACAAAGAATGGAACGATAGACACTGGGGCCTGTTTGAGGGTGGAGGGTGACAAGAAGATGAGGATTGAAAAACTACCTATTGGGTATTATTTGGGTATTATTTGGGTGACAAAATCATCTGTATATCAAACCCCTGCAACACACAATTTACCCATTTAACAAACCCGCACATGTACCCCTTGAACCTAAAAGTTGGAAAGAAAAAGTGTTTAAAAATAAAAATTAAACTATTCTTGGAAACAGCTGGCAATCTACCTTCATGACCCAAATTTGCTGTATTATAAAAATTTAAACCAGCCACAGAAATTAACATGAATCAGACAAAGCAAAAAAGGAATCAGGTTAGACTTTCTGTAGGTGAGAATTTGACTAAAAAAGAAGAATATCAAGTTTTGAATTATTTTTAATTTCAGCCTGCTACTATCGTATAAGTGCCTTCCTTAACTTTTTAATCTCTAGGGCAAGCATATTTTCAATGATGGTTTTTAAAAAATTGCCTTATTTATGACTTAATGAAATTATATATACATTAAATTAAAAAATAAATTTAATAAATTTATTTTTTGTAGAGATGGGGTCTTGCTATGTTGCCCAAGCTGGTCTTGAACTCCTGGGCTCAAGCAGTCCTCCTGCTTCAGCCTCCCAAAGCACTAGGATTACAGACATGAGCCACTGCACCCAGCCTCAAAAACTTAACTTTTAATTTCAGAACACTGACCCCATTTCTCTTGAGTCTGTGTTTTCCAGATGGCAATTACCAACTTTTAGCTTAAATAAACTCTTTTAAACTAAATTTTAATGCTTTGAATTATTTCGGGTTGACACATGGAACCAAATAAAGTTGGTTCACAAATATAATTGCATCACATTCTACTTGAAAACCTTCCAGGAAAGTCTTTGGTGATCTGGTCTCAGCCCATCCTCTATTTTCACTCCCAATAACTCTCCTTTGTAAACCTTATTCAGCCTCTTTTATGCCAACATAAGATATTTGGTCATGTGTCCACCGGTTTTTCTTTTGCCCTAAATCCTTTTCTCTATCTCAAAATGATAAGCTATTTCTCATCCTTCAAGATCTAGCTCAAATCTTAATATCTATAAGAAGTCTTCTTGGCTGGGCACGGTGGCTCACACCTGTAATCCCAGCACTTTGGGAGGCCGAGGTGGGCAGATCACCTGAGGTCAGGAGTTTGAGAGCAGCCTGACCAACATGGTGAAACACTGTCTCTACTAAAAATACAAAAATTAGCTGGGTATGGTGGCAAGTGCCTGTAATCTCAGCTATTCGGGAGGCTGAGGTAGGAGAATTGCTTGAACCCGGGAGGCGGAGGTTGCGGTGAGCCAAGATCACGCCATTGCACTCCAGCCTGGGCAACAAGAATAAAACTACATCTCAAAGAAAAAAAAAAAAAAGTCTTCTTGACCCCTAGTTGATCAGCTTCTATCTTTTTCCTTCCATAGTACGGTATTTAACTATATGTGTCTCCCTAGACTGAGACTTTCCCAGCGGACTGTGAAAGCAATGGCATTATCATATTCACCTTCTTGAAAACAATGTCAGTGTCTTATTCATCTTTATATTCTCATCTCTATTACTATTCCCTCATACTACTGCCCACCAAAATGTCTGGCATAATACATCTTTAATGGATGAGTGAATGCTAAGCAATATGATCCTTGGTTTCTCCAAAGTGCAATCTAAAAAAAGGACATTAGTCTAAAGGCAAGAAACAAACCTGTACAATTTAAACAAAAAACTACATATAATATATGCAATTTAAAGCAAAAACTGTATTCAGAAAATAAAAATTAGAATCTAAAGTTACAATTCCAATGTAAATCATTGGAAATTTGCATAGAAGACAGTGCTGAAAGTGGATAGGTCATTCAAATCTTCTTTCCATTATATGCTGATTCTTTGAAGACAGTAAACTGTTTTGGTCACATAGCTCACTTTGACATCCATTACTGCTTTGTTTCACCGATAGTTTTCCTATGTATTTGAGTTGTTTCAATGGTCTATTTTTTTTTGTGATTTATAGTCACAATACTTTGTTTAAACAAACACAACAAAACAAAAACATTCATCCCAACATTGATAACAAATTACATTTTTTTTCTTTTGACATGGGGTCTCACTATGTTGCCCAGGCTGGAGTACAGTGGCTATACACAGGCACAATCATAGTGCACTTATGCCTTGAATTCCTGGGCTCAAGTCATCTTCCTACCACAGCCTTCTGGAGAGCTGGGACTACAGGCACACCGCCACTGCACCTAGCACAAATTACAATTTTTAAAGGTGGTCGGGTGCGGTGGTTCATGCTTGTAATCTTAACACTTTGGGAGGCCAAGGCGGGTGGATCACCTGAGGTCAGGAGTTCAAGACCAGCCTGGCCAACATGGTGAAACCTCGTCTCTACTGAAAATACAAAAATTAGCCAGGCATGTAAACCCAGCTACTTGGGAGGCTGAGGCAGGAGAAGCACTTGAGCCCGGGAGATGAAGGTTGCAGTGAGCTGAGATTGCACCGCTGCACTCTAGCCTGGGTGACAGAGCAAGACTCTGTCTCAAATAAATAAATAAACAAATAAATAAATAAATAAAGCAGGTAGGTAGACATGAGAAAGGGCAGAAACTGAAGAGTAGAGGTAAGAAGATGGTTTGGGAATACCAGGTTTAGATATATATTACCTGTGTGACCTGTAAATACTGAACCCTCTCTAAACCTCAATATGTAAAATGAGAATATCAGAATCTGTAATCATTATAGCCAGCATCAAATGAGATACACATGTAAATTTGTAGCTTCCCTGATCCAGAGTAAGCTTTTTGTTTTCTTATTAATTCTCAGTTAAAAGAATCATTACATTGTATTTTTAAAAATAGAGATATAGTTCGTAAGTGTAATGCATTTGAAAAACAGTTAAAAATCATGGCCTCAAATGGTGACTCACACCTGTAATCCCAGTACTTTGGGAGGTCAAGGCAGGAGGATCACTTGAGGCCAAGAGTTCAAGACCAACATGGGCAACATAACAAGACCCCCCTTCTCTCCCAAAAAAAAAAAAAAAGGGGGGGGGCAGGCACAGTGGCTCTCACCTGTAATCCTAGCACCTAGCACTTTGGGAGGTCAAGGCAGGTGGATCACTCGAGGTCAGGAGTTTGAAACCAGTCTGGCCAACATGGTGAAACCCCATCTCTACTAAAAATACAAAATATTAGCTGGGCGTGGTGGCGGGTGCCTGTAATCCCAGCTACTCAGGAGGCTGAGGCAAGAGAATCGCTTGAACCCTGGAGGTGGAGGTTGCAGTGAGCTGAGATTGCCATTGTACTCCAGCCTGGGTGACAGAGCAAGACTCCGTCTTAAAAAAAAAAAAAAAAAAAAAGAAAAATCTTGATTTTTAGAGGTTGGAATAATAAACTAAATAAAAAATAATATAATAAACAATTATTTGACTATTTGATTAACATCTGGCTTTTGATTAACAAGGACAGAAACTTGATTTCGATTGCTCACATTGACATATAAGAGATGCTCAAGAAGTCTTTTTCCAGTGCATGACTGCAGGCATGCATGATGAACAAAGGTTATTATCTTCCAGAAGATATTATTTAGGCCCTGCCGATGTCATATCCTGGCTATGAATTTGTCCAGAGATCATAAGGTCTTGCCTTTGAATAGCACTTGAAACCTATAAAGGTGTTTCCAATTGATGAATATGACAAATATGTGAGGTAGATTTGAGCAGTACTATTTTCTTATTTTGATGAACGGGGAAAAGAGGAACAGAGTGAAACAATGTCACACCTCTAAAAGATGACAGATCCAAAACTAGAAAGAATAGTTTTCTGACTATTCCTTGTTTTTATTTTATTTTTTTACAAACTTTTCTGTATGTTATATGAATGTCTACATGAATTGCTTACAAATGATCTTGTATAAATATAGCTATGGCCGTAAAAGATGTTCAGAATATATTGTCTTGTAAATAGTTATTAGCAAAGACTATACAGCATGGCCTTATTTTTAATAAAACATTTATATATACATATTGATCTCTGTATCTAAGAGTTTGGAAGACTATACGCCAAAATACTAAAAATACTGGCTATTTCTTTTTTCTTTGTTTTTGTTTTTTTTTTTTTTGAGATGGAGTCTCGCTCTGTTGCCCATGCTGGAATGCAGTGGCGCGATCTCGGCTCACTGCAAGCTCCGCCTCTCAGGTTCACACCATTCTCCTGCCTCAGCCTCCCGAGTAGCTGGGAGCTGGGACTACAGGCGCCCACCACCACGCCTGGCTAATTTTGTTTTTGTATTTTTAGTAGACGCAGGGTTTCATCATGTTAGCCAAGATGGTCTCCATCTCCTGACCTCGTGATCCGCCCGTCTCAGCCTCCTGAAGTGCTAGGATACAGGCGTGAGCCACCACGCCTAGCCAATACTGGCTGTTTCTGAATGGTGAAATTTCATGATTTAAAATTTTAATTTATGTGTATTTTCTTTTTTCTATTTTTTTTTTTTTTGAGATGGAGTTTTTTTGCTTTCGTAACCCAGGCTGGGGTGCAATGCACAATCTCTGCTCACTGCAATCTCTGCCTCCTGTGTTCAAGCGATTCTCCTGCATTCAAGCAATTCTCCTGCCTCAGCCTCCAGAGTAGCCGGGATTGCAGGTGCATGCCACCATGCCCAGCTAATTTTTGTATTTTAAGTAGAGATGGGGTTTCCCCATTTTGGCCAGGCTGGTCTTGAACTCCTGACCTTAGGTGATCCTCCCGCCTTGGCCTCCCAAAGTGCTGGGATTACAGGCATAAGCCACCATGCCCAGCCTTAAATTATGTGTATTCCCTAATTTTTCTAAAGTGCTCATGCGTTATGTAATTTTCATGAGAACAAGAAATTTTTAAAAGGTAATTTTTTTAAATTAAAAAGATGACTATTTAAAAATAGGCAAAAACTGGGTGTAGTAGTGCACGCCTATAATGCCAGCTACTCAAGAGGCTGAGGTGGGGGGATCACTTGAGCCCAGGAGTTCAAGGCTGTAGTGCACTATCCTTGTGAATAGCCACTGCACTTCATTCTTGGCGACATAGTCAGACCCCATCTCTAAAAAAAAAAAATTACAGAGTCCAAATTGGTCAATACCCAACATTGGGGGTATTGGAAAAATGTATAGGAGTAAAAAGTTTTCTTACTCTTAGAGAAACGACCTCAGGTTGAAAAAAATTTGATAAAGATAAAAGATTGGCCAGGCACAGTGACTCAACCCTGTAATCCCAGCACTTTGGGAGGCCGAGGTGGGTGGATCACTTGAGCTTGGGAGTTTGAGACCAGTCCAGGCAACATGGCAAAACCCCGACTCTACAAAAAACACAAAAATTAGCTGAATGTGGTGTGTGTATGTAGTCCCAGCTATTTGGGAGGCTGAGGTGGGATGATCGCTCGAGCCCAGGAGGTGGAGGTTGCAGTGAGCCAAGATTGTGCCAATGCACTCCAGCCTGGGAAACAGAGCCAGTCCCTGTCTCAACAACAAAGAGAAGAAAGAAGGAAAGATGGAAGGAAAGGAAGGAAAGGAAGGAAAGGAAGCAAGGAAGGAAGGAAGGAAGCAAGTTGGTTATAAAGAAAAGGACAAGTAAATACAGTTTGATAATATCAAGTGAAGAGGTGTTTGAATAGTCTGTTTATGATAATAATTACTATAATATTTTTAAAATATTTATATTTGTAACTATTTCTCCCTAAAATTTTATCACTTATAAGGAAATAGCCACAGATAGTAAATAAATAATAAACACACAAATTCACAAATTAAAAATAAAAAGTTACTGTAGACTTCAGATTTAAATATTTTGTGAAAATATTTATCCTGACTTTCCAACATCAGCATATTTTCCAGTCATTGTAGTTTTGTTAAACAGAGGAAAAAGGAATTCTCGGAGATGACTAATTGTTCAGGGAAATGAATCTTTCTAGAAAAATGTTAAGAAGGAAATTGCTTAGCATCAGACTTTTAAGTTGCTTAAAATGCCACCATCTAGCCAGGCATTTTTTTTTTATTGATCAGCTTCATCATATTCATAGGCATTATTTCATCCCTCCATGCAGTCACCTTAAATCCACCCTATGGAGAATATTAAAACCTTTTATAATAAGATCTTAAATACAGTGTGCAGCATTAATACACAGAAATTAGTAAAAGTGAGATTATTTTATTTTATCTTCAAACAGTTTTTAAGCATCTGCTATACTGTGTTCCTCACTCAGGATGCAAAGAAATGGGAGGAGCAGTCCAGGTCCAAGAGAAGCTCTCAGATCCAGGGGGAGATACGGCAGGTAGGTAAAAAGATGGTTAACAATGGGTGTGGTATCACCTAAGTGACATCTGAGCAGGTGGCTAAGGCTCAGAGGAGAGAGGATCTGGAAGCTGGATTTATGGATGAGAGGGTTTGAGTTTCAAAGAAAGAGTTGTAACAAAGTCACAGATTAAGAGGGAAACGGGTTGATGCCATTCTCAGCGTGAGTAAAACATTCCCACAGTGTGATGTCCAGCACTTGTGAAAGGTGAGTTGTAAATTCAGGAACACTTTGTAATAGCAAATCTAATCACACAAGTTAAGTAACCTTAGATGTAATTTAAAAGACTTGAACCTCCCCTAGCTGGGAGTTTTGGATAGGTGTCTTTTTCTTTTCTATATTTCTAAAAACATTTTTCAATATTTTTAGTTACACAAGCAGTAGCTGCTCAACATAGGAAAAAAAAACAAAGTAAGCAAAAATAAGAAAATAAAAATCAGTGAAAATTTCAACTCTGAAATTACCGCTCTTTTTATTTTCATAGATAATATTGCTAAATTGTTCTCCAAAATAGTTATATCAATGTGTGTTCTCACCATGGATATTATTTTTATGGAAAAATATGTAATTAATGAATTTTTTTAAATTTTGAAAGGACAAATGTTTGTTAAGGCCATTTGGTTAATCCCAGAGTAGGTGTGATGAAAATCACGGTCTTTTGAATATATTAAAGTAGAAGTAATGATTCCGGGAACTGGATAGAGGAGAAAGTATAACTTATGGTTATAAATTCTTATTTTCTTCCTAGACTCATGATTGGGAGAGATACTTTTGTAAGCAAATTGTTGATGGCTACAGTAAGAATAAAATTTGCCAAAATTTCGGCTTTAAAATTATGAAAGGGCTGGCCAGGCATGGTGGCTCACGCCTGTAATCCCAGCACTTTCGGAGGCAAAGTTGAGCGGATTGCTTGAGCTCCAGAGTTCAAGACCAGCCTGGGCAACATAGCAAGACCTCGTCTCAAAAAAATATATATATATATGAAGCATATATATGAAACATATATATGAAGCATATATATGAAACATATATATGAAGCATATATATGAAACATATATATGAAGCATATATATGAAACATATATATGAAGCATATATATGAAACATATATATGAAGCATATATATGAAACATATATATGAAGCATATATATGAAATATATATATGAAATATCTTATGTATATGAAATGTATATATGAAATATCTTATGTATATGAAATATATTATATATATGAAATATATCTATTATATATGAAATATATTATATGTATGAAATATACTATATATACGAAATATATTATATATATGAAATATATATATTATATATGAAATATATATATTATATATATGAAATATATATATAATATATATAAAATATATATATTATATATATGAAATATATATATTATATATGAAATATATATATTATATATGAAATATATATATGAAATATATATATTATATATGAAATATATATATGAAATATATATATTATGTATGAAATATATATATGAAATATATATTATATATGAAATATATATATTATATATGAAATATATATTATATATGAAATATATATATCATATTTGAAATATATATATATTATATATATTTCATATATATTATATATATGAAATATATATAATATATATATTTCATATATATTATATATATGAAATGTATATTTCATATATATAATATATAACATATATTTCATATATATAATATATAACATATTTCATATATATAATATATAATATATATGAAATATATAATATTATATATATGAAATATATATAATATATATGAAATATTTATTATATATATGAAATATATATTATAAATATGAAATATATATGAAATATATATATGAAATGTATATAATATATATGAAATATATATATTATATATATTTCATATATATTATATATATGAATATATATAATATATATATTTCATATATATTATATATATGAAATGTATATTTCATATATATAATATATAACATATATTTCATATATATAATATATAACATATTTCATATATATAATATATAATATATATGAAATATATAATATTATATATATGAAATATATATAATATATATGAAATATTTATTATATATATGAAATATATATTATAAATATGAAATATATATGAAATATATATATGAAATGTATATAATATATATTCATTTATATATATATTTCATATATATATATATATTTCATTTATATAATATATTTCATATATATATATATATTTCATTTATATAATATATTTCATATATATTATATATATTTCATATATATAATATATTTCATATATAGTATATATATTTCATATATATAATATATTTCATATATAGTATATATATTTCATATATATAATATATTTCATATATAGTATATATATTTCATATATATAAATATATTTCATATATAGTATATATATTTCATATATATAATATATTTCATATATAGTATATATATTTCATATATATAATATATTTCATATATAGTATATATATTTCATTTATATAATATATTTCATATATAGTATATATATTTCATTTATATAATATATTTCATATATAGTATATATATTTCATTTATATAATATATTTCATATATAGTATATATATTTCATTTATATAATATATTTCATATATATTATATATGTTTCATATATAATATACATATTTCATATATATTATATATATGAAATATATATATTATATATATTTCATATATATTATATATATGAAATATATATAATATATATATTTCATATATATTATATATATGAAATGTATATTTCATATATATAATATATAACATATATTTCATATATATAATATATAACATATTTCATATATATAATATATAATATATATGAAATATATAATATTATATATATGAAATATATATAATATATATGAAATATTTATTATATATATGAAATATATATTATAAATATGAAATATATATGAAATATATATATGAAATGTATATAATATATATGAAATATATATATACATGACAGAGTAGAAGAAAAAATATATTTTCAATTCTGTTAAAGCAAAATTACCCTCATGATGGCTTTTAGTGCATAGGCCTTGCAGCCTCTGAAGGACATGCTTGTGGGGCTGGTAGTTCCAGAAACTTAAAAATATTGAAGATGAGTGGGAAGATTTGGGGAGGAGAAGGAAGAAAAGGATGAGAGTTGCATCTGAATAGGTTAGAATTCTTTTGGAGAGTTTGGGGCATTTATTTGTTTGTTTATTTTTAGCTCAGAGGCCAGAAGGACAATGAACAGAGACGGCTTAACGTCCGTTCTCAACGGTGTTTGAGCCGTTGGGATAAAAGAAGAGAAAACTAAAAGCTGATAAAAGTGATTTCATTACATTTGGTAAGATTCTCAGCAAGATCTGAGGGCCTACACTGATAGAACTAACCTTTCTTGAAACTTTGGGACTTTGGCCTAAACAGAGCTGCTTGGTTCCTTGGGGCAAAGTAAAGCATAGGGTTAGTAGGCCACTCCCCCAGTACCAGGAGGACCAGTGAGGACCACAGTGGGCCTAGCCCTTTGCTTTCTACTTGGATGCCAATACAATATGTTATGGGTGGCAAATATGTGAGTCTCAGGGCACCAAATATGTTACTGCTGGAAATTATCCACGTTACTGGCAGGAAATATGTATCAGTCTGCAGCCCCCTCAATTCTTGCCTCCTCAGAAGACAGAATTTGACTAAGGGACAAAAGGCAGAAAAAGTGACATGGGCAAGTTTCAAAGCAGGAGTGGAAGTTTATTTAAAAGTGCTTTAGAACAGGAAAGAAAGGAAAGTACTCTTGGAAGAGACCCAAGTGGGCGACTTGAAGAACAAGTGCAGTGTTTCACCTAACTAGGACTTTATAAGCTGGCCCCTTTCCAATGATTCTCCCCTTAGGGTGGGTTGCCCACACGAGCAGTGCCCTCCTTACCCTTGGGAGGTGAGCACACTCAGTGTGTTTAGGTCGTTGTGCACATGCCCATCTAAGGCTTTCTTCCCTTTTCCAGTGGTGTGCTTCCGGAAGGTCATGTTCTGCCATTTTGTCTCAATGCACATGCACAGGAAGTTGCTTCTCCCTGGTGCCTGCACTCAATTAACACTTTTATTTATTTATTTATTTATTTATTTATTTATTTATTTGTTTTTGCGATGGCATCTCGCTCTGTCACCCAGGTTGGAGTGCAGTGGCACGATCTCAGCTCACTGCAACCTCCGCCTCCCAGGTTCATGTGATTCTCCTGCCTCGGCCTCCCAAGTAGCTGGGATTACAGGTGCCCACCACCATGCCCAGCTAATTTTTGTATTTTTGGTGGAGATGGAGTTTCTTCATGTTGGCCTTGAACCCCTGACTTCAGGTGATTCACCTGCCTTGGCCTCCCAAAATGTTGGGATTACAGGTGTGAGCCACCGCACCAGCCTCAATTAAGACTTAGTGCAACTGGTGTGGACGATTAGGAAATGACCTCTCCCTGGCACCGGCTGCCAATTTGTCACTTTTAACGAGGCAATGTGATAATTACCGAACCATCACCCGACATTCCTTGTGGGTCCGGGAGAGCCCTCTCCTGCCCCACTCATGCCTGTCTAATTACCTGTAACAAATTGGTGGAGGCCACACCAGACACTGACCTTGGCTTTCTCACTACACACACTGTCAGGAGGACCAGTGGTGAGGCTTCTGCATGTGGCATCAAGTGGGAGACGGAGGAGGAGGGGCCGAATGGGAAGGTACTGTGCTGTGACCACAGCCAACAGCCCCCATCCACCTTTGGGACCCCCAGAAATATCTCAGGGACAGTCTGAGAGGGACTGCTTTCTTGTTGGGTCAGGTGGGCAGGGATGTGGTGTAATCACCTAACAAGTTCTTCCTGCCCACTGCACAGGGAAAATCAATTCACTGAGACTAAGGCACTGCAGTAGAGAAGAAGAGGCTGGCCCACCCAGGAGAACTGGAGTTATCATTCAAGTCAGTCTCCCCCACCTCCAAGCTTGAAGGTTAGGGTTTTTATGGACAATTTCGTGGGCAGGGGGCTAAGGAATGGATGGTGCTGATGGGTTGGGGATGAAATCACAGTGATGTGGAAAACATTCCCTGTGTACTGAGTCCACCTCTGGGTGGGGCCACCAGACCAGTTGAGTCAAGAGTCCGGGTGGGGTCAGTCTGAAAAATATCTCAAAAACCAATCTTAGGTTTTACAATAGTGATGTTACCAATAACAGCAATAGAGAAAGTCACAAATCTTGCGCTCTCTGGCCACATGATTTCTGAGCAGTAACGGAGGATTATGGAAACTACACCTACATTTTGGCAGAGTGCAGGCTCTTCCCATAATCCTATTCTTGTGACCTTTCATTAGTCTAAAGAAGGCGGGTGTTGGTCCCTGAGCAAGAAGAGTTAATTTAGAGAGAGACTATTTTCCTTGCTTTCAAGCTAAACTATAAATTCCTCCTAAAGTTAGCTTTATAACTATAAGCTATAAGGAGAGCTTGAAGGTCAGGAACAAGACAGAGTCAACTATGTCAGACTTCTCTTACTGTCATAATTTTGCAAAGGCGGTTTCAATGAGAAGGGAGAACAGGTGGTTGGAGAGGGGCTCAAGCCACCATATGAGTGGCAAAATCAAGCATGACCTTGTTTTGTGGGCAGGCTGGTAAGGCCTGCTCTTATGAGCTATGCGTGGATGTGACTGAAATCCATTGTGATGGTGCTCAATTATTTTTGGGAATATTCATTCTATAAATATTTCTTTTTTCTCTTCCATTTGAAACCACTTTATTTTTTTCTCTTTCAACACAATCATTTTAAATAGTGGGGCACTTTTTATCACATGGCTCTATCATATTTGATTTTAGGATCTTGCTATTGTTGGACTTTTAGGCTATTTTGTTTTGTGCTATCATAAATCATGATACAGTAAACATCCTCTTAATACAGTTTTGAGCACAACTATTATTTTCTTAAAATAAAGACTCCAGAGGGGGTCAAAGAATAGTTTTCAAGTTTTTAATAGCACTACACCTTATCCTCCACAAGGTTGTGCCCATTTATACTCCCACTAGGAGGGCAGAAGTGTTTGCCCACATCCATTTTAACAGTGGGCATTGTTATGTGAAACACTTTTGTGTGTGCGTATGTGAAATGGCTTGCTTTGTCACCCAGGCTGTAGTGCAATGGTGTGATCATAGTGCACTGTAACCTGGAACTCTGGTGTTTCTGAAATCCTCCCACCTCAGCCTTCCCAGGTAGCTGGGACTATTGGCATGCACCACTATGCTCAGCTAATAAAACATTTTTTATAGGTGAATATTGGTTCTTGATTTTTCACCTGTGTTTGACTACCTTTAGCGAGATTAGATATGCTTTCCTTTATTTGTTTTGGCCGCTTGTATTTATTTTTTTAAATCACTTTTAAAAAATTTACTGGCCTTTAATGAGTGGAGGACAAAAAGAGATAATAAACCTTAAATTAGAGAATATTCAGGCCAGACACAGTGGCTCACACCTGTAATCCCAGCACTTTGGGGGCCAAGGCGGGCGGATCACTTGAGGTCAGGAGTTTGAGATCAGTCTGGCCAACATGGTGAAATCCTGTCTCTACTAAAAATACAAAAATTAGCGAGGCGTGGCAGGCACCTGTAATACTAGCTACTTGGGAGGCTGAGGCAGGAGAATTGCTTGAACCCGGGAGGCGGAGGTTGCAGTGAGCCAAGATCGTGCCATTGCACTCCAGTCTGGGCAACAGAGCAACTCTGTCTCACAAAAAACAGAGAATATTCAACATAATTTTTGGTGTACTTTTACATGTAGAAGAAAAGAAAGAAAGGGAAGAAGAAGAAAGAGAGGAAGAAAAAATGATGGCACAGGAATTGTCTTTCCATCTCAAAAATGACATTTCTTTCTTTTTTTTTTTTTTTTTTTTTTTGAGATGGAGTTTCACTCTTATTGCCCAGGCTGGAGTGCAGTGGCATGATCTCGGCTGACTGCAAACTCCGCCTCCCGGGTTCAAGCGATTCTCTTGTCTCAGCCTCCTGAGTAACTGGGATTACAGGTGCCTACCACCACACACCTGGCTAGTTTTTTGTATTTTTAGTAGAGATGGGGTTTTGCCATGTTGGGCAGGCTGGTCTCGAACTCCTGACCTTGTGATCTGCCTGCCTTGGCCTCCCAAAGTGCTGGGATTACAGGCATGAGCCACCACACCCAGCCAAAAATGACATTTATTTAGAAGTTTCCTCCTGAAATTTTACAATGGGGTGGGAATGTGTGTGAGTGTCTCTCTCTCTCTGCGTGTGTGTACATACATCCACAAATATGTACATACTGTTGCCGCCCCCCCCCCCACTTTTTTGGCTTTTTAAAAGTTTCTATTTCAAAAAATAAAGCTGCAGTTAATTTCTTATAAATATCAGGACGGAAGGGGAGTGGGATGGGGTGAGGGTTTGGCCCCTACCTCCTCTTCTCTTTCACACTGTATTGTAAAAGCAAAGGGGATAGCTTGTCGAACCAGTGGAGAGCCATAGCTGCTTCATTGTCATGTGATCAGGGAGAACTTCATTGTCAAAAAGGAGCTGCACATGCTGAGGATTTAGCATCAAACGGTGACACAGGACCATCCAGAGATGGCAGACCTCAGTTCCAACAGAACATCGGACATACTTGTTCTGCAGGATGCTTTTATTCTTGTCTTTGCCAGAACTCAGCCACTCTGGGCACAGGCTCAGCTGCTCATCATAGCCATAGCAGGGGGCTTTAGAGTGGTCAAAGCTGCTGAAGGGGAGGCCAAGGTTGTTCACTGCTGGATCTTCCTGACTGGGCTGGGTGACCTGGTCCAAACCTCGGGAATGACCCTGGCCAGGCATGGTGGTGAATGCCTGTAATCCCAGCACTTTGGGAGGCTGAGGAGGAAGCACCACTTGAGCTCAGGGGTTTGAGACTAGTCTGGACAACACTGCGAGACCCCGTCTCTATTTAAAACAAAACAAAACAAAAGAATGCCCGAAACTGGCCTGCAGCCCAGTCACTATAGTACAGGGCCCTAAAATATACTGCTTGGTGACGAGATAGTGCTGTGTTGATACTTAGTTCTTCTGCCTTCTCTGTTTGCAAATGCAATGAATTGGGCTACAAATATAGCTTCTGTTGGACTGCATTCTATTATTTAGTAATCTGAACAATCTCTACCTACACTTTATTGACTCAAGTCTAGGCAGGGAGATTCCATGAGGAGGGAGAGTTTTGCTGCGTTTCCCATTAAGGAAAGGAAAGAGACTAACCATTAAGCATGCATCACGTATTCATCACAATCACCTTTAGAGGTTGGTGTTTCTCATCCAAACATCTTATAGTTAGTTGAGGATCAGGAGGCTCAGAAAAAGTAAGCAAGTATGTAAATTGCCCAAGGTTCCAGGGGTAGATGTGGAGTGGCCCTAAAACCAAGTGCTCATCTCCAAGTCAGCAGCTCCTAAACATCCATTCACTCTATACCTAAATACCATACTAATAAGCATGTTACATTAAATCCATTCACTTTGCAAACTGAAATACTTTTTAAGGGAAATTTTACATTAGTACCGTAAGTGGAAATCCAGTATCGATGGTCATAAATAGAAAGTGACTATAAAAACCTCCATGGGCAAAATACTTGTCCTCTAGCTCATCCTGAGGCTGTTTCTACTCCAGTGTGATTTTTAAAATTTTTTTTAGATAAAGGGTCTTGCTCTGTCCCCCAGGCTGGACTGCAGTGGCATGATCATAGCTCACTGCATTCTTGAACTTCAGGGCTCAAGTGATCTCACCTCAGCCTCCCAAAGTGCTAGGACTACAGGTATGAGCCACTGTGTCCGGCCCCCATGTAATATTTAAATGGCTTTTCTTTCTGTCTCTGGTGGTCAACTCCCATTTCCCCCTCTGCCCTGATCCTTTTAAGAACTGAAGGCTGCTTATCAAGTAAGTTTGAAGGACAGACTCTGCAAGTTTAGACTGAGACCCTCCCTGCCCTACTTCCAGGAATGTAATACTCATCCTCTTGCATACAGCTGATAAGCATGCATGCTTTGGGAAGCTCTGAAACAGGATGCTTCCTGTCCCTCCCTTCTTTTATTTTTATTTTATTGTTTTAGAGACAGTATCTTATTCGGTCCAATCATAGCTCGTTGTAACCTTGAACTTCCAGGCTCAAGGGATTCCCCACAACCTTAGTCTCCCGAGTAGCTAGGAGTACAGGTGTGCACCACACCTGGCTATTTAAAAAATTTTTTTGTGGAGACGGAGTCTCCTTATATTGCTCAGGCTGGTCTTGAACTCCTGGACTCAAGTGATCCTCCGGTCTCAGCCTCCCAAAGTGTTGAGATTACAAGAGTGAGCCACCACCTCATACCCCTATCCCTCCCTTCTAAGAAAAAATACTAAACCCAAATATCGTTGAGGTCTCAAAATACAAATAGTTCAGTTCTGAGACATATGAATTGCCCTAGTCACTCAGTAATGACTTTGGAAAAACACACAGGCTAATGTATCCTTTTCAGCAGATAACATTTCTAAGGCTGTCCACAGGGACACATTTATTTTTAGAGTCCTGTGGCTAGCACACTAGCCTAGGGCATGATTGGTCTCTTCATTTCTGCTCTCTTTAGGGTTGAAGGCAGTTGCTGCAGTTGAATCAACTGTGTCATGAACCAAACTAGTAGCCACCAACACAAATGTTTTAGTTGGGCCTTGGGCTTTTATTTTGTAGCTAGAGTCATCATTTCTCTTTGGTTCCATTCAGAATCTGAAGGGAAAACTCTTTGTAGCCGTGATGAATTTTTTGGGGAACATAAATTGTTAAGTGTTGATTCTCTGACTGAAAACCTTTTTAGGTGGTGATGTTTTCACTGCTGGATACAGCTGTTCCTATTTAGATATGCAATCTCTAATTCTTGGTCTAAATGCTGGTGCCCTTATTAAAGAGTTGTTCAGGCCAGACGCAGTGGCTCATGCCTGTAATCCCAGTACTTTGGGAGGCTGAGGCGGGTGGATCACCTGAGGTCAGGAGTTGGAGAGAAGCCTGGCCAACATGGTGAAACCTCGTCTTTACTAAAAATACAAAAATTAGCCTGGCTTGGTGGCGGGCGCCCATAGTCCCAGCTACTCGGGAGGCTGAGGCAGGAGAATCGCTTGAACCTGGGAGGCGGAGTTTGCAGTGAGTCAAGATTTTTCCACTGCACTCCAACCTGGGTGACAGGGCAAGACTCTGTCTTTAAAAAAAAAAAAAAAAAAAAAAGAGTTGTTCAATTGCATTTCATGGGAACCTGCAATTCACGGCAGCCAAGTTTCCAAATTGTTCGTTCTTTGCATAGCATCATTTCTTTTTTCTTTCTTATGTGGAATCTTGTTAGCATTAAATAAAATGATTTTTTTTTCAAGTGAAAGGACAGTCAGGAAGAGAGGAGAACAAGACCCTAATTCTGGCAGGAGCAGGACTTGAATTATTGGGCTAAGCATAAGGAAGGAATTCTTTCAGAGACAGAGAAACATTAAACACCAGTTGTAAGCAGTAAATTTTATCATTGAGGTGATACCAATATATTAATCACTGTAAACAGTCTATCATCCAAGTCTAAGGCTCCTTGGATGTTTTTTTGCCATAGTTGGTTGCTCTTCGCAGAATTTACACATTTTGAGGGCATTTTCTTTTAACTAGCTTGGGAGGTAGGGGCTGGGGGAGTTGCTGATGAGAAAAACAAAGACATGAGCCAAAAACAAATGTGCAAATAAGTGCAATGGGAATGATTGGATAGACTCACCTCTCAAGAAGACAGAGGAGAAACTATTGAGAAGTGGTTCTGGTAGACATGCTCAAACAGCACAGGAGGTACTTGACCTGTTTTGTTTTGTTTTTTTTTGAAACAAGTCTTGCTCTGTCACCCAGGCTAAAGTGCAATTATGCAATCTCAGTTCATTGTAACCTCCACTTCTCAGGTTCGAATGATCCTCCTATCTCAACCTCCCAAGTAGCTGGGGCTACAGGTGCATACCACCATGTCCAGCTGATTTTTGTAGAGACGGGATTTCCCTATGTTGCCCAGGCTAGTCTCGAACTCCTGGGCTCAAGTGATCTGCGCACTTCAGCTTCCCAAAGTGCTGTGATTACAGGCATGAGCCACTGTGCCCAACCAGGAGTTACTTTAATGTGAACGCTCCATAGGTATGCTGTGAGGAGTTATTAATTGACCTTGTGAGAAAAGCAGCAACTAATTCAGACTGCTTTGAAAATAATGGCTGGAAGTCTTTTTGCCTTGAGAACACAGATTAATGAAAGAGTTTTGGCTATCTTGAAAATAGGAAAGAATAAATAAATAAAATGTTTTTAACAGTTGGTTCCATACTTTTGCTTCTAGTATTCTTGAAAACACATTTCTCTCACTTAATTTTAGATTATAAAAGCACTCTGCTGGATGTGGTGGCTCACGCCTGTAATCCCAGCACTTTGGGAGGCCGAGGCGGATGGGTCACCTGAGGTCAGGAGTTCGAGACCAGCCTGGCCAACATGGTGAAACTTTGTCATCGTGAAAAATTAGCTGGGCGTGGTGCCACGTGCCTGTAATCTCAGCTACTTGGGAGGCTGAGGCAGGAGAACCACTAGAATCTGGGAGGTGGAGGCTGCAGTGAGCTGAGATCCCACCACTGTACTCCAGGCTGGGTGACAGAGTGAGACTCTGTCGCAAAAAAAAAAAAAAAAAAAAGCACTCACTGGTTAACCTTCCTAGGCATCTAATTCTCCTCCAGTTTAATCAATTAGTGATTATTAGATTATAAGACTTCCTGAATTTTTCTTAGAGGAGACTGATTTTACCTTTGTTTCTGACACTCAACTTTCACCACATTCTGATGATCTTGGCTCAGTGACCAATTACAAAGCCAAGAACATGTTCCATCTATGAGATTTCTCTTTCTCTCTCTCTCTCTTTCTTTTCTCCTCTCCTCTCCTCTCTTTCCCCCTTCTCCCTTCCTTCCTTCCTGTCTTTCTTTTTCTCTTTCGTTGTCTCTCTCTCTTTGTTTCTCTCTTTCTTCCCTCACTCCCTCCCTCCCTTCCTTCCTTCCCCTTCCTTTCCCTTCTTTCCCTTCCTTCCTTTCTTTTCTTTTGAGACAGGGTCTCACTGTGTTGCCCAGGCTGAGTGTAACAGCACAAACACAGCTCACTGCACACTCAACCTCCCAGGCTCAAGCAATCCTCCCACCTCAGCCTCCCAAGTAGCTGGGACTACAGGGACTACATGCTTATGCCACCACACTTGATTAACTCTTTTGTGTATTTTTTTTTTGTAGAGATGGGGTTTTGCCATGTTGCCCAGGCTGGTCTTGAGCTCCTGGCCTCAAGTGATCTGCCAGCTTTGGCCTCCCAAAGTGCTGGGATTACAGGCACAAGCCACCCTGCCCAGTGAGGTTTTTTTTTTTTTTTTTTTGAGATGGAGTCTCCATCTGTTGCCAAGGTTGGAGTGCAGTGGTGCGATCTCAGCTAACTGCAACCTCTGCCTCCCCAATTTAAGTGATTCTCCTGCCTCAGCCTCCTGAGTAGCTGGGATTATAGGCATGGGCCACTAATTTTTGTATTTTTAATAGAGACGGGGCTTTATCATGTTGGTCAGGCAGGTCTCGAACTCCTGACCTCATGATCCGCCCGCCTCGGCCCCCCAAAGTGCTGGGATTTCAGGCATGAACAACTGTGCCTGGCATGCCCAGTGAGATTTTTAATTGTCCCTGGCTCTCTAGGTGTTGGTCATTTGTACCTCACGTACCACACTCAACCTGTTCATTACCGTAAGTCTTCAGGACACCACCTGTTTTCTGCCTAGGTGGATCACAAAAAAGTGTTAGGGCCTTTTTATAGTTTGAAGTCAAGTCTTGTTGCTCAGATCATACTTTCCTATTCAACCCCTCTCTTCTCTGCTCCCTCAAAAGTAGTAACAATAAAACCTATAGGTACTTTTTCATTTTCCTCCACTGAAACATTGAGCTCATTCAGGTCTCCAGGTCTGCTCCCAGATTCAGCTCCAGGACCCCAGTGAGGCCTCTAAAAGTCCGTCTAATTCAGTTTTTATACAAGGGATATTTTTCTCCAGCCTGTCCAAGGTGAGGATGTCCAATTCTTTAACTTTCAATAGAAAATATTAAGTCAGATAAAATCACAAACTTTAACACAATTATCACTTGCAAGAGCTTACAAATCTTCCTTGTTCAATTCTGAAGAGCTAAATAAAAATGCCTTCAGTACATAAGGAGCACTCAACCTATAAATAGGATCCATTCCCAAGTATACATTGGTTGTTTAGAATGCTAAACATGTTTTTGTTTAAACAAAGATTTATTGAGAGCCTAATGTGTGCTAGTCACTTTTTCCATGAAAACAATAGAATGAGTATTATTTCGGTTCCAGGGCCAGCTCATTAAAGCCTTTTTACCTAACGTGGAATTAAACTATACCACAAATTGCGCAAGTCTTTTTTTTTTTTTTTTGAGGCAAGGTCTCGTTCTATTGCCCAGTCTGGAATGCAGTGGTGCTATCACAGTTAACTGCAGCATCAACCTCCAGGGCTCATGTGGTCCTCCTACCTCAGCCTCCAGAGTAGCTGGGAATACAGGTGTGAGCTTCTACCACACTACCACCAACCCCCATGACAACACTGCCCCCCACCCCCGGTGGCAAGTAATATCTTTGAGTCTTGGAAACAGCAGACCACGTGATAAGAGAGGAGGGAGAAGAAGGAGAAAGAATAGAACTTTCTCTCCCTGTTGTGGCAACTGACTAGCCCTAGGACCAATGATTAGTAAATACTTATTTGAGTCTAGGTGCTATTCTAAATGCTTTACATAAGTAGCTGTTTAAACATATTAAGCATATGTTTTGGTTTGTGTTGTCATTCATCTTCCTTCTGTACCCCTTCTCTACTCTTTGAGAGCCTCTCTCTATGGTGCAGGGTACAGCTGTGGACCTGGGCACTCCCTCTGCCTCTTGCACTGGCCAATTCTACCCACCAAAGTGTTCCATGCTCTCCATGTCCTATTCTCCAACCTCTACTCATCAAAATCCCCATTTTCTCAGTGTAGCTAATCTCAGGTGCTAGGAAGAAACTTTCCAGAGATTGATTGATTGATTGATTGATTGATTGATTTGGAGATGGAGTCTCACTCTGTCGCCCAGGCTGGAGTGCAATGGCGCAATCTCGGCTCACTACAACCTCCGCCTCCTGGGTTCAAGTAATTCTCTTGCCTCAGCCTCCAGAGTAGCTGGGATTGCAGGCACCCGCCACCATGCCTGGCTAATTTTTTTGTATTTTTTTTAGTAGAGACGGAGTTTCATCATGTTGGTCAGGCTGGTCTTGAGCTCCTGACCTCAGGTGATCCATCTGCCTTGGCCTTCCAAAGTGCTGGGATTACAGGTATGAGGCACTGTGCCCAGCCGAGATGCTTTTATTTTTAAAGAGGATACCTCAGAAATCAAATGCATTTCTTTTTTTTTTTTTTTTTTTTTTTTGAGACAGGGTCTCACTCTGCATAGTGCAGTGACACAATCACAGCTCACTATAGCCTTGAACTCCTAAGCTCAAGCAATACTCTCACCTCAGCCTCCCGAGTAGCTGGGGCTACAAGCATGTACCACCAGGTCCAGCTAAATTTTATTTTTAAAATTTTTTGTAGAGACACGATCTCGCTATGTTGCCCAGGTTGATATTGAACTCCTGACCTCAAGCAATCCTCCCACATCAGCCTCCCACAGTATTGGGATTATAGGCAAGAGCCACCGTGCCCAGCATCAAATGCATTTCTGGTGGCATTCAGGCAGATGGATCTGGCAGTGAAGGGCTGGCAAGGGGGTCCTGGTTACTGGGTAGAAGTGTTGGTCCTTCTTAAGAGTCAGTCCTGGCCAGGTGTGGTGATGTGCACCTGTAATTCCAGCTACTCAGGAGGCTGAGACGGGAGGATTGCTTGAGCCCGGGAGGTCCCGGCTGCAGTGAGCTATGATTGCACCACTGCATTCCAGCCTGGGTGACAGAGCAAGACCTTGTCTGTAAAAAAATCAGTCCTTGGAGGCCACACCTCAGAGCCATTTCTATTTTTATAGCCTCTTCCCTTCTCCACTTCTGAACATAAAGGAAGCACAGGGGGAAAGTACCAGCTAAGGTAAATTAGCACCCTCAGCTTCTCTTAAATTCTGTAGAACACAGCAAGGCAGGGGCAGTGAAGACAGTTGTGAAGGAGATGGAGTCGTCATTGTGACCAGTTTCCTATTCTTGTTGCTAATGTGCTAACAACTGTATCTGCTGACTACTGACTGACCCATATGAAAATTAATTCATATTTACCCAACTTCGGGGGACCTATCATAAAGAAAGTCTTTTTTTTTTTTTTTTTTTTTTTTGAGACAGGGTCTCACTGTGTCACCCAGGCTGGAGTACAATGGTGTGATGTCGGCTCACTGCAACCTCTGCCTCCTGGGTTCAAGTGACTCTCCTGCCTCAACCTCCTGAGTAGCTGGGACTATAGGCATGTGCCACCATGCCCAGCTAATTTTTGATTTTTAGTAGATATGGGGTTTCACCATGTTGGCTAGGCTGGTCTCAAACTCCTGGCCTCAAGTGATGCACCGGCCTCAGCCTCCCAAAGTGCTAGGATTACAGGCACGAGCCACCATGCCCAGCCGGAAAAGAAAGTCTTAAAATTAATTTCAACAAATCCTTAGCCCCTGATGGTATTTTTTTCTATCAGCTTTTAATGATGACAATGGACTAAAGCTTTCAAAGGCAGGAACTGCTGGTTTATCTTCATCATCTTTTGAGGATAACTTTCTGATGTAAGAATTAATTATTTCACAAATCTTTGCTTGTCAGTCTTCTACACAGGTCAAGACTCTATTAGTCTTTATCTTTTCCAAATTAATAATGCAGATGCCAAAAGAAATGACATCTTTTCAACTCAATTTTCATTTTTATTATAGCAAAACTGCTTTATATATTTAAGAGATGAATTTTTAAAATTATAGTTATACTGAAAGAAAAAAATGAGTGCAAGAATACTTATTAGGTGCTCCCTTACAAGTAAAAGGGATATTTATGCCTCTTATTTATTTTAATGTTTTTTTCTAATGTACTTACTATGAAATTATATACAATGAGATATAAGCGTATAATAGAATTGCCACGTGAATCACAAAGTTTGCTTCCAGATATTCTTTTTATTAACCAGTTCATTAAAGCAAGCCTATTGCCTGCACAGATCATGCTAACATTTATTTACTATTTGTGGCTCTTGTCATATTAGGATCAATCATTTCTGTTGTTATTTATGTACTTTTTCTCCGTCCTGTTAGACTATGGGCTACCTGAGGAAATTTCTATTATGTTCACCATATTCTATATCCCCAGAGTGTTTATACCTCTGGCATAAAATAGACCTCATAAATATAATAATCGTATGTTGAGTAAACAAATGATATCACTAAGCACCTGAGATAAGTTCATTGCGATAGCTGAACAATGAATTTGGCAAAGTTTCTAGGCAGTTAAGGATTAAGGAAAACCATATTGGTCTATGTAACTTTTCTTCTAACTAAAAAAGCATGCACGTAGAGACAGTTTTTCTTGAACTAAACTCAAAGACATTGAGTAACAGAAATGACCACATCTGTGGTTTCACAGGACAACCAAATGGCTATTCAAATGAATTATTTTATGACCCTCTGTAAAAGTTTATATTACATTTAACTAATAAGAATGTTGTCGCAGATAACAAATTATATGGCCCAGGTGCATTGATAGCAGCTAACGAAGACCATTTAGTGTTAATTGCTTAAGCTTTGAGTCAGAAAGATCTGGGTTTGCATCCTGGCTGCACCATTTAGAAGCTGTGTAATCTTGGCAATTTACTTACTCCCTCTGAGCCTGTTTCCATGTCTGTCAACTGTGACACTAATCCCTAATCATAAATGTTCAAATTAATGAGATAATTTGTGTTATCCTCCTAACAATAAGTAAATGCTCAAGTATTATTCACCAGCAATATTGAAGCAAAACTAGAGGGATTTGAAAGAATCAATAATAACCATAATGATAAATCAGTTTTTTCCCAATCTCAAGACCTTAAGTAAGCATTATGCAAGTGGCATCTCTCAGTCAATTCTTAACTAAATGTTTCAGGTCAGTATGGGAAATGGAGAAATGTTATGTTGATAGCTAAGGGGAGAGTATGTTTTAGATACCAGGTAGTAGGGAGCAAATTAGTTCTACTAGGAAAGAAAAACATCCAGACTTTTTATCCAAACAGTATTTTCATTCAATTAATCAGAAGTACAGACAGCAAGAGTGCTTGGGGATATAGTCAAACTCTTTTATCAAAACTTAAACAGGCCGGGTGCGGTGGCTCATGCTTGTAATCCCAGCCCTTTGGGAGGCCAAGGCAGGCGGTTTACAAGGTCAGGAGATCAAGACCATCCTGGCTAACATGGTGAAACCTCATCTCTACTAAAAATACAAAAAATTAGCCAAGCATGGTGGCGGGTGCCTGTAGTCCCAGCTACTCACGAGGCTGAGGCAGGAGAATGGCGTGAACCCAGGAGGTGGAGCTTGCAGTGAGCTGAGATCAGGCCACTGTACTCCAGCCTGGGTGAGAGTGAGAGACTCCATCTCAAAAAAATAAAAATAATTAAAAAAAAGACTCCATCTCAGAAAAAAAAAAAAAAAGCTTAAATAAGTACTTGATTGAGGTTCCAAGTGCCACCTAACAAGAAAGAGCAGCAGAAAACTATGTCATCTTGATGGACTGCCAGATGAGTCAAGTAAAGAAAATGCACCTCCCAAGGTGGTGAATAAATTGAGATACCTTTTAGATCTGCTTAAGGGCTCTGTTAAAATGTTGCAAACTTGGCTAGACACAGTGGCTCACGCCTGTAGTCCCAGCACTTTGGGAAGCTGAGGTGGGTGAATCTCCTGAAGTTAGGAGTTTGAGACCAGCCTGACCAACATGGTGAAACCCTGTCTCTACTAAAAACACAAAATTAGCTGGGCGTGGTGGTGCGTGCCTGTAATCCCAGCTATTTGGGAGGCTGAGGCAGGAGAATCGCTTGAACCCTGGAGATGGGGGTTGCAGTGAGCTGAGATTGCTCCATTGCACTCCAGCCTGGGCAACAAGAGCAAAACTCCATCTCAAAAAAAAAAAAAAAAGAAAGGCCGGGTGTGTGTGGTAGCTCACGCCTATAATCCCAGCAATTTGGGAGGCTGAGGTGGGCAGATCACCTGAGGTCAGGAGTTTCAGACCAACGTGGCCAACATGGTGAAACCCCATCTCTACTAAAAATACAAAATTAGCCAGGCATGGTGGCGCATACCTGTAGACCCAGCTACTCAAGAGGCTGAGGCAGGAGAATCGCCTGAACCCGGGAGGCAGAGGTTACAGTGAGCTGAGTTCGTGCCACTGTACTCCAGCCTGGGCAACGGGAGCGAAACTGTCTCAGGAAAAAAAAAAAAAAGTTGCAAACTACCTACAGAGTACAACTCTTCAAGTTTGGGAGTAATGACCAGCAAGACATTTGTCAGCAACTCCTCAATAGGTCTGATTGTTTCTTAGGACAACTTTTGTTATAAGAAACCAGAGAGGCTTGGACAGTGGCTTACACCTGTAATCCTAGCACTGTGGGAGGAGGCGGGAGGATCGTTTGAACTCAGAAGTTCCAGACCAGCCTGTGCAGCATAGTGAAATCTCATCTCTACTAAAAGAAAAAAAATTACCAGATGTGGTGGTGCTTGCCTGTAGTCCCAGCTACTTGGGAGGCTGAGGTAGGAGGGTCACTCGAGCCTGGGAAGTCAAGGGCTGCAGTAAGCTGTGACAGTATCACTGCAAAAGAAAAAAAAAAAAAGGCCGGGCATGATGGCTTACACCTATAATCCTGTAGTCCCAACACTCTGGGAGCCTGAGGTGGGAGCATCACCTGAGCCCAGGAATTCAAGACCAGCCTGGGCAACACAGCAAGAACATGTTTCAATCAATCAATCAATAAATAGTGCTATGTTAACAGACTGTCTATGAAGTATTTTATAGATTGTCTTATTAAATCTATACAATAGTTTCATGAGGGAGTCATTATTATTTTCAAAATGCAGATGAGGAAAGTAAAGTTCACAGTGATGAATTAACTTGTTTCAAACGATTTGGCTGGTCTGGGGATAATAGGTATTTAAACCCTGTTATATCTAATTCCAAAGCCCTGCATACTGTTCACCATACTCTACAGTCTTTCCGCTAGAGAAAATAATGATAATAGTGCTTCCCACATATGAGCCACTTTTAGATATCTTGAGCTAGTATTTAGTAGCTGTGCAACCTTGGGCAAGCAATTTAACCTCAGCTTCCTCATCTCTAAAATGGGAATGATAACAACAGCAGCTACCTCAAGGGGTTGTAAAACTTAAGTGAGGCATATATGTAACATTTGGAACAGTGCCTGGCACATGGTAAGAGCTCAATAAATGTTTGCTATTTTGATCTAATTCAGTGTTTTAAAAATAGATTAACAAAATAGCTTTTGGTAGTCTCAATTGCTAATTGTAACTTGGTCTGGAAAATTTTTCTGAAATTGTATCTATTTGTTTTCAAAGATATGAAACAATAGTGGCTGACCAGTCCTACCTTCATCTCCATTCCCAAAAGGTTGACAAGACTGGCATCAGCCAATCTACTGAAGTGTCATAGAAGGGGAAACTTCTCGGTAAAGTCTGAGTATGACAGAAAATCCTCAGAGCTCAGGAGGTTTATCAGACGTTGAAGAGGCCATCTTTCTTCATGGAATCTTTTTTTTTTTTTTTTTTTTTGAGAATGCATAAGAAGGATAGAAGATTGGGCACTTTGGATGGAGAGAATGTTATCAGATAAGGGGCCAAGTGAAGGCTGCTGTCAAATGCATACCTTACTTATTGGTCACCAATTTTGCAATTCTGATTCTCAGCAGTTGCTCAGAGATCCTTTCCCACTGGCCCCTGTGACATAGGCAATCCATAAATGTTGGGAACTTGTGTTTCTGGGGCAATATTTTTTATGAACTGGGGCAGAAAACAGATTATTAAAGCTAGGCACCCCTTTACCACTTGGGACCCTGCATTTTATCCCTAGAAAAAAATGTTAAAGCAAACTATGCTAGTGCACCGTTCTAGCAGTGATGACCTCGTACACACACACACACACACACACACACACACACACACTCCACATACACAGACAATAGCAATAGCCCAAGCCTCAGGGAGTAGAGCTCTTAGCCATTTAACTAGAAATGGGAAGCATATCAAGTTCCAATAGCAGGAAAACAGCCACCAAAAAAACCCCAAAAGACACCCAACAGAATAAATATCTGGGCCTTCTTCTTCCCTTCTCTTTAGATGTATTGTAGCAGAGACCTTCTGGAGTCAATTATATTGTCCCACTCTCAGAATAATTCTTTTTTTTTTTTTTTTGAGACTGAGTCTTGCTGTATCTCCCAGTCTGGAGGACAGTGGCATGATCTTGGCTCACTGCAACCTCTGCCTCCTGGGTTCAAGTGATTCTTCTGCCTCAGCCTCCTGGGTAGGTGGGATTACAGGTGCCTGCCACCATAACTGGCTAATTTTTGTATTTTTAGTGGAGATGGGGTTTCACCATGTTGGCCAGGCTGGTCTCAAACTCCGGACCTCAAATGATCCTCCCTCCTCGGCCTCCCGAAGTGCTGGGATTACAGGCGTGAGCCACTGTGCCTGGCCTCTCAGAATAATTCGAATGGGGGTGGGATGAGGGACAGGTCTCAGACCCATCAGAAAAGGAATAGCCTATCACAGCAGACCATTAGTGGAGGGGAGAATTTCAGGAAGTTGGAATCTTTTGGCAAATCTAAAGTAACATTTCATTTTCATGGAGGGCTAGTTCTCATTATTCCATTCCTTCTGCGGATCCAGACGTCACAGGCAGGAGGACAGGAAGACAGGATCAAAAACATCAGCCAATAGTAAAGGAACCATTTATTATTACACAACCTCATTGAATTTATTTTTACTTATTTTTTCTTTTTTAAATATTCTTTTTCTTGTTTTTAAAAATACACAGGGTCTCATCATGTTGCCCAGGCTGGTCTTGGACTCCTGAGCTCAGGCAATCCTCCCGCCTCGACCTCCCAAAGTGCTGGGATTACATCACTCCCTGGGGCATGTCCTCATCGGCACTTTTGAAGACTGTTAGCCACAAAGCCAGGCTATACAGTGGGAAAAGCAGTGAGGACATGGAGAAGGCATTATCAACTGTGTTAAAACCCAAGCTGAGGAGCATACACATCATTTCTACTCATGCTCTGTTGGTAAGAGCTTAGTAATACAGCTACAGCTCAATGTTCAGAAGACTGGGGACTGTATTGCAGGAAGGCAGCCATGTGCCCAGAAGGAGAAGAGAATGAATTCTGGTGGGTAAATAATAGTCTCTGCCAAGGGGTATTCTCCTTCCTGGACTGATTGGGCTTTATCCCTAGGGCAGAAGGAATGATGTATCTGCCTGGGGAGTTTGGAGGGAAAAATGGGCAAGAAAGCCCAGTCTCTTCTTGGATTCCCTTTTCTTCAAACTTGCCTGTCCAGGTCTGCATTCTGCTTTGCTGTAGGGGAAGGGGAGGAATGTGCCTGCCCAGGGGGGCTTTTGTTAGTCAGAGGTGAAGTCCACTGCAGATACAAAGCCAAGTTCTCCAACCTTTCTTATCTGTAAGAAAGGTGATATTTTGATTTCCATATGTCTGTCCCCTGAATCTCTTCTCCAGTTGGTTTCAAACTCAGGCAGGAAAAATACATTTTACTTACCAGTTCCCTGGAACCCAACAAGTAGATAGGATCCTTTATCTTCCTTGCTCATGAAAGTATCCTATACTCATTGTAAAATTGTGTCTGAACCAGGTGAGGTGGCTCATGCCAACAATCCCAGCATTTTGAGAAGCCGACATGTGAGGGTCGCTTGAGGCTGGGAGTTTGAGACTAGCCTGGGCAACATGGCAAAATCCATTTCTACAAAAAATTTAAAATATTAGCCAGGCTTGGTGGCTCAAGCCTGTAGTCCCAGCTACTTGGGAGGCTGAGGTGGAAGGATCGCTTGATCCTAGGTGTCCAGGATGCAGTGAGCCCTGATCATGCCATTGCACTGAAGCCTAGGTGACAGAGTGAGACTCTGCTCAAAAAAAGAAAAACAAGGCAGGGTGCGGTGGCTCACACCTGTCATCTCAGCACTTTGGGAGGCTGAGGTGGGTGGATCACCTGAGGTCCAAGACCAGCCTGGCCAACATGGTGAAACCCCATCTCTACTAAAAATACAAAAATTAGCTGGGCATGGTGGCAGGTGCCTGTAATCCCAGCTACTCGGGAGGCTGGGGCAGGAGGAATGTTTGAATCCGGGAGGCGGAGGTTGCAGTGAGCCGAGATTGTGCCACTGCACTGCAGCCTGGGTGACAGTGAGGCTTGGTATCAAAAAAAAAAAAAAGAAAAGAAAGAAAAGAAAAGAAAAAAGAAAAACAAATTGTGTCTGAGCTAAGCTATAAATTATTATTATTATTTGAGATGGGGTCTGACTATGTTGCCGTGGCTGCTCTTTTAACTCTTGGGCTTAAGGGATCCTCGTGCCTCAGCCTCCTGAGAAGCTGGGACTATAGGTACATGCCACCTAAATAATTTTTAATATGTGAACCAAGTTTTAACTTGTAGATATGAAGAATTCTGCTTTGTATATAATTATAAACCTAAATGGGTATTGCTTTCCCACAAAAATTATAGTTTTTGTTATTGGTGATTCTGAGGAAATTTGTTAACTATCTCAGAAGTTTCAAAATGTCCTAAGAGCAAACAATACCAAAAAAGAACACCTGAAGAGATAAAATAATAATTTTAATGATAATAAAATACCACTGAAGTTGGAAAAATGGAACTAAAACACTTCCTTTTGTTTGTTTGTTTTTGAAACAAAGTCTTGCTCTGTAGCCTAGGCTGGAGTGCAGCGGTGTGATCTCGGCTCACTGCAACCTCCACAAGCGATTCTCCTGCCTCAGCCTCCCGAGTAGCTGGGATTACAGGGGCCCACCGCCACACCAGGCTAATTTTTTGTATTTTTAGTAGAGACGGGGTTTCACCATGTTGACCAGGCTGGTCTTGAGCTCCCAACCTCAGGTGATCCGTCTGTCTCGGCCTCCTAAAGTGCTGGGATTACAGACATGAGCCACCACGCCCGACCCTCTTATTTTCTTCTTAATTTACACCTTTTCCATGAATAGCTCTCCTTTCTGCATGCACACTAAATATTTCTGAATCTGTGCTTGCTTCACAAGTAATTTTCGTGAACTGTACAGTCAAATTTCTAACTGCTGGACAATCTACAGCTAGTGAAAATGTGGCATGTCCAGAACAGAACTCATTTTATACACTGTTTCTCCCAAATTGGAAGATTTTATGTATTCATATATATTCATATGGAAGATTATATATTCATATAAAAATATGTTTTTCCAGTATCTCTTGAAAAATTGGAAAATGTGAGAATACTGTCCCCATGTAACAACAACTGAGGTTGGTAGCTGCCCCTACTTTATTTATTTATTTATTTATTTATTTATTATTTTTTAGAGCCAGGGTCTTACTCTCTCAGGCTAGAGTACAGTGGTGAGATCATAGCTAGGATTATAGGTGTCCACCACTGTGCCCTGCCCAGCTTCCCCCTTTAAACAAAGCTTATGGTCTCCTGTTATTCATAATTCTTATTGCTCCCCACTGTCTTACGCTTGGCTGACTTCACACGATATGTTTCTGGAATGGCCCCTATAGGTATATGCATCTGTAGTCACCGATCTAGGCCATACTAGACCATCTGTTGAATTAATAAATTAATTGAAGTACAAATAGGATCACTCTTTTCTGTGAAATCTGGAATTTGGCCGGGCGCGGTAGCTCATGCCTGTAATCCCAACACTTTGGTAGGCCAAGGCGGGCAAATCACCTAAGGTCAGGAGTTCGAGGACCAGCCTGGCCAATATGGTGAAACCGCATCTCTAGTAAAAATACAAAATTAGCTAGGCACGGTGGTGGGTGCCTGTTTTCCAGCTGCTGGGGAGACTGAGGCAGGAGAATTGCTTGAACTCAGGAGGCAGAGGTTGCAATGAGCTGAGATCAAGCCACTGCACTCCACCCTGGGTGACAGAGCAAGACTCTGTATCAAAGACAACAAGGAAGAAAACTGGAATTACCTGATGTCATTGAACCCTGGATCTGACAGTTACTAAACTGATTGCAACTTTGTGTAAATTACTCAACCTCTCTGTACCTCAGTTGCCTCATCTATAAAACAGTGAGAACAATACAGTAGTCTCCCTTTATCTGTGATTTCAGTTACTTGTGGTCAACCGCAGTCTGAAAACATTAAATAGAAAATTCCTGGGCAGGTGCAGTGGCTCATGCCTGTAATCCCAGCACTTTGGGAGGCTGAGGCGGGCAGATCACGAGGTCAGGAGCTTGAGACCAGCCTGACCAATGTGGTGAAACCCCGTCTCTACTAAAAATACAAAATTAGCCGGGCGTAGTTGGCGCGTGCCTGTAATCCCAGCTACTCAGGAGGCTGAGGCAGGAGAATTGCTTGAACCCGGGAGGCTGAGGTTGCAGTGAGCCAAGATTGCACCTGGGCAACGGGGCGAGACTCAGTCTCAAAAAAAAAAGAAAAGAAAAGAAAAGAAAATTCTAGAAAGAAACAACTCAAAAATTTTAAATTGTGCATCATTCTGAATAGGATGATGAAATCTCATGCTTCCCCACCCTGTCCCACCCAAGATGTAAATCATCCCTTTGTCCAGCATATCCACACTGTGGAATCTGCTCTCCCCACTAGGCTGTAGCTTAATTGTAGTAGATTGTTGTGGTATTGAAGTGTTTTTTTCTAGTATCCCTATTTGACTTAAATATGGCCCCAAAGTGCAAGAATAGTGATGCAATTCAGATATGCGAAAGGGAAGTTGTAAAATGAAAAGGTAAAAGTTTTCAAATTAATGAGTAAAAGAATCATAGGTTAAAAAAGTGTTTGTTATGGTAAGAATGAATCTAAACGTGAAATTCCGAAGAAGGAAAAAAGAATTTGTGCTTGTTTTGCTGTCGCACCTCAAACTACAAAAGTTTATTACAGTGCATAACTGCTTAGTTAAGATGGAGAAGGCATTAAATGTATGGGTGGAAGACATGGACAGAAAACATGTTGTGCCAGAAAGCTTTGAGGCTGTATAAAGACTTCAGCATGGGATCTCCTGAAACAAGTGACATTTAGCCACTTACTGTAGGTAATACATAGTGGTTTTTTTTGTTGGTTTTAAGACAGTCTTGCTCTGTCGCCCAGGCTGGAGTGCAGTGGCGCTATCTTGGCTTACTGCAACCTCCGCCTCCTGGGTTCAAGCAATTCTCCTGCCTCAGACTCCTGAGTAGCTGGGATTATAGGCGCGCACCACCACGCCTGGCTAATTTTAGTATTTTTAGTCGAGACAGGGTTTCATCATGTTGGTCAGGCTCATCTTGAACTCCTGACCTTGTGATCTGCCCGCCTTGGTCTCCCAAAGTGCTGGGATTACAGGTGTGAGCCACCGCACCTGGCTGTTAGTTATCATTGTTAATCCCTTACTCTAATGTATAAATTAAACTTTATCACAGGTATGTACACATAGGAAAAAACATAGTATACATAGGGTTCGGTACTATTCATTGGTTTTAGGCATTCACTGAAGGTCTTGGAAGATTTCCTCCGCGGACAAGGGGGGACTACTGTAGTAGTTACTTCACAGGGTTGTTATGAGAGTTAAATGAGATAAAGCATTCAGGCAATTTAGAAAAATACTCAACACATAGTTAATGGTAGCATTTGCTGCCTCAACTCCTACTGTTTCAGTTACTCTCTCCTGGATTTTTGTAACATATTTTTCAAAAATGTTTCTAAAATATTTTTTATTTATTTTATTTCAATTTTTTTTTTTTTTTGACAGGGTCTCACTCTGTTGCCCAGGCTGGAGTGCAATGGCTCACTCACAGCTCACTACGGCCTCGACCTCCTAGGCTCAGGTGATCCTCCCACCTCAGCCTCCCGAGTAGCTAGGACCACAGGCATGCACCACCATGCCCAACTAGTTTTTGTATTTTTAGTACAGATGAGGTTTCACAATATTGCCCAGGCAGGTCTTGAACTCCTAGACTCAAGCGATCTGCCCACCTCAGTCTCCCAAAGTGCTGGGATTACAGGCATGAACCACTGCTCCCAGCCCAAAATAATTTTTTCATATGATTTTAGAATAGGTTTAATCTGGCTCATGACCTGTATACATAATACCACCCTGATTGTGGGAAACTATGTATTGTATTTTTTTCATTACTAAAAAGTGGTATTTCTTTTTTTTTTTTTTTTCCTTTTTGTGTGTGTGTTTTTTTGTTTGTTTGTTTTTTGTTTTTTTTTAAGACAGAGTCTTGCTCTGTCTCCCAGGCTGGAGTGTAGTGGCACGATCTCCACTGACTGCAACCTCTGCCTCCCGGGTTCAAGTGACTCTGCTGCCTCAGCCTCCCGAGTAGCTGGGACCACAGATGTGCACCACCACACCCGGCTAATTTTTGTATTTTTGGTAGAGGTAGGGTTTCACCATGTTGGCCAGGCTGGTCTCAAACTCCTGACCTCATGTGATCCACCTGCCTGAGCCTCCCAAGCTGCTGGGATTACAGGCGTGAGCCACCCCGTGTGGCCTAGAAGTGATATTTCTAATAGAGGTTCAGTTTTAACTCCTGAAGGTAGTGAGGATGAATAGGCCCAAATGAAACTGACAAACATTTGATATCAATACATTTAATGATGGCTTTGCTAGAGTTTTTCTGTATGTGAAATACACGCCCAGCCAAAGGTGGAAGTTATCATTTGAGTAGTGTATTCTGCAATGTATTTTCCACACAGCCTTGAACAATCAGTCCAAAACTTCTTTCATACAGCTATTCTCTTGCCAGAAATCCTATCCTGTCACAAAGCAAGTTCTTACTTCCC